>NC_000022.11:29618654-29770170 GCF_000001405.40 Homo sapiens
ATCAGTAAGAAAAGCCAAATAGGAAGTTGTAAGAGATCCTAATACTATCTTATATTGAAAACAAAGCCTCCTTCTCCTGTTGTTTGGCATTCTAAATGTTTTCACATACCTAAGTGAGATTATGATTGTATTAAATACCAACATTGCAGATCATTCCAGCATACAAGTGGACGTAAGTTGTCCATAACAGAAGGAACTTTCTAAAGGGGAAGACAGATAGAACAATTCTGGCATTTTCAGTAAAATCTTAAATCCTAGGCTCCCTAGGACCAGGCAAACCATCCCCTTCAAGGATGTAAACTCTGGAGGGCAGTGTAGTTGTACAGGGTAATAGTTCTATACTCTATATTAGTGCAACAAGAAACTTCTATTCCTGTTTCAGAAGTAAGACTGTTATCTACCTTTTTTTTTTTGAGATGGAGTTTCACTCTTGTTGCCCAGACTGGAGTGCATGATCTCAGCTCACCAAAACCTCTGCCTCCTGGGTTCAAGTGATTCTCCAGCCTCAGCCTCCCGAATAGCTGGGAATACAGGCATGTGCCAACACGCCCTGCTAATTTTTAGATTTTTAGTAAAGACAGGGTTTCTCCATGTTGGTCATGCTGGTCTCGAACTCCTGACCTCAGGTGATCCACCTGCCTTGGCCTCCCAAAGTGCTGGGATTACAGGCACGAGCCACTACGCCTGGCCTGTTATCTACCTTTTTACCGCTGTGCTCTCCCATGGGTTTTTTTTGTTTGTTTGTTTGTTTGTTTGTTTTGAGATGGAGTCTCGCTCTGTTGCCCAGGCTGGAGTGCAGTGGCGTGATCTCAGCTCACTTCAACCTCTGTCTCCTGGGTTCAAGCAATTCTCCTGCCTCAACCTCCTGAGTAGCTGGAATTACAGGTGCCTGCCATCATGCCAGGCTAATTTTTGTATTTTTAGTAGAGATGGGGTCTTACCATGTTGGTCAGGCTGGTCTTGAACTCCTGACCTCATGATCTGCCTGGCTCGGCCTCCCAAAGTGCTGGGATTACAGGCATGAGCCACCGTGCCCGACCTCTCCCATGGGTTTTAAGTAGTGCCTATGGATGGCATGGGTGCCACTACTCAGGTCTAGGACAGGCAGGGGTGAGTGATGAGTGCGTGCGTGCTGATGAAGGGGTGCGAAGAAACAGATGCTGGCTAGTGCTGCCCTCCACTGGACCCCATTCTGCCTTTGTGTGGGACAAAGGGCTAGGGACTAGCAGTTACTTTGTGCTAGGTACCATGCTAAATGCTTTAAATGCACACTACCTCATTTGATATAACAGGGACTCATTTATTCATTCAAGAGATATTATAAAATAGGCTAGGCACAGTGGCTGACACCTGTAATCCCAGTGGGAGGCCGGGGTGGCCAGATCACTTGAGGCCAGGAGTTCGAGACCAGTTTGGGCACATGGTGAAATCCTGTCTCTACTGAAAACACAAAAATTAGCCAGGCGTGGTAGTGGGCGCCTGTAGTCCCAGCTACTCCGGAGGTTGAGGCAGGAGAATTGCTTGAACCTGGGAGGTGAGGGTTGCAGTGAGCTGAGATCGCGTCACTGCACTCCAGCCTGGGCGACAAGAGCGAGACTCTGTCTCAAAAAAAAGACAATAATTAGGCGTGGTTGTGCGCACCTGTAGTCCTAACTACTTGGTAGGCTGAGACAAGAGGATCACTTGAGCCCAGGAGTTCGAGGCTGCAGTGAGCTATGTTCGTACCACTGCATGAAGCCTGGGTGACAGAGTGAGACTCTGTCTCTTTTATTTATTTGTTTTTTAAATAATAGAGACAGGGTTGGCCGGGCATGGTGGCTCATTCCTGTAATCCCAGCACTTTGGGAGGCTGAGGCAGGTGGATCCCTGAGGTCAGGAGTTCAAGACCAGCCTGGCCAACATGGGAAAAACTCGTCTCTACTAAAAATAGAAAAATTAGCCGGGGGCAATGGCATGTGCCTGTAATTCCAGCTACTTGGGAGGCTGAGGCAGGATAATTGCCTGAGGTGGAGGTTGCCTGAGATTGAGCCACTGCACTCCAGCCTGGATGACAGGGAGAGACTCCGACTCCAAAAAAAAAAATAGAGATGGGGGTCTCCCTACGTTGGTTGCTCAGGCTGGTCTCAAACTCCTGTGCTCAAGGGATCCTCCTGCCTCAGCCTCCCAAAGTGCTAGGATTATAGGTGTGAACCACCACACGCAGCTCTGATTTACTGGGTGCCCACGTTGACCAGGCAGGGAACACCTCCTAGCAGTGATCAAGGACTACTTTGGACCTAGGTTCTGTAACTGACTTCATCTTTAAGTGGGGAAACAGAGGCTCAGACAGGATACATAGCATGCTTAAAGGCTTAGTGCAGCCACTATCTATTCTGAAAGAGGCAGAATAGGACAGGGACAGGTAGGTAGTGAGAGAATAGGGAGAATAGATGGGCACACCCTTTAACTTAATATCGACCAGTAAAGCCTGCAGTTGCTTATTTGAACCTCACATTGAGGCTGACATGTAAGTTGAGCAAATCTTAACTCAAGCTTCAGTTTCCTTGTTGGGGCCGCTGAGGCAGCATAGCCTAGAGATTACAAGCATAGACTTCAGAGTTTGATTCCTGGCTCTGCCTCTAACCAGCTTTGCAACCTTAAAGCTCCTTAACCCCCTCACATGCCTCTGTTCCCTAACTGTAAAATGGTGAATGTAATTAATTCTTCCTGCATAGTGTTACAAGAATTAAATTTGAGTAATTACTGGTAAAGTACGTAGAATAGTACCTAACACAAGATAAGTGCTATATATAATGGTTGTTACCTAAAGAAATAACAGCCTGGGCAACATGGCGAAACCCTATCTCTACAAAAAATACAAAAATTAGCCGGTTGTGGTGGTGTGCACCTGTGGTCCTAGCATCTCGGGAGGCTGAGGTGGGAGGATCACATGAGCCTGGGAGGTCGAGGTTGCCATAAGCTTCCTGATTGCACCACTGCACTCCAGCCTGGGTGACAGAGTGAGACCTTGTCTCAAAAAATAAATAAATAAAATAAATTAAAAAAATAAAAAGGAAATAAGTTCAGTGCCTGTCGTTAGCTTGCTCCCTTTCTCAGCCTCTCCTCCACTTCCTCACGCACCCTCTTGCTCTGAGCCTATTATCCTGGTCCCTCCTTCACACTGCCACATCTTTGCATAGGCTGTTCTCTTTGCCTGGAATGCCATTCTCATTTGTTGCTTGGCAGAACTGAACTCATTCTCCTTCTAGGCTCTGCTCAAGGGTTTCCTCTTCTTTGTGTCCAAAGTCACCACATAGCTTCTAAGTGATGGGACTGAGATTTGAAGCCAGGTCATCTGTCTTTCAGGCCAGCCCTCTTTCCACTACCCTATGCTACCCAAATAGGAAGCGTAAAAGAGAAGTAGGAGAGAAAAAGTTAGAAACCTGGAGAGAACTTAGGTATTTGGTAAACAGGAAAAAGAAAGTGGAAAGAAGAGATCATTTGAAGGACTTCCTCAACTTAACAACTATTTGCCTATGGCATTATTTTATTGCATTTGGTGTATGATACTATCTCAAAAGCATTTTGTAAACTTGCCAGTGGCTTACATTTTTGCCGGATGAATGACATGACTAACGATCCGTGCTACATTACCTCAGTGTCTAGTTTGTCATTTTGAATCAAGTGGACATTTTCTGTAAGTGAATCATTTTCACTTGCTCATGATATAATGAGAATTCCTTACCTTTGGCTTAAAATGAGGCTTATGTTATAACAGTTAAGCATTGTCTAGTTGCATATTTAACATAGTCAGAATGCTCCTGCCTGTATTCAGCCTGGTGTCTTATAATATTTGGTATGCCCACCTAGATAGCAATTGGTAACATCTTTATTCTGAGACTCTTTCATGTATGGATTTTGAAAAGTTAGTTAACTGTTCAGACGACATTGTTTCTTTGACTTTTACAATCCGCTTCCCTCTCACTGACAGTTCAGTTTTGGAAGACCCTGTATTTTTTTTTTTTTTTTTTTTTTTTTTTGAGACAGAGACTCGCTCTGTCGCCCAGGCTGGAGTGCAGTGGCGTGATCTCTGCTCACTGCAACCTCCACCTCCCGGGTTCAAGCAATTCTCTTGCCTCAGCCTCCTGAGTAGCTGGGATTATGGGTGTGCACCACCACACATGGCTAATTTTTGTATTTTTAGTAGAGACGAAGTTTCACCATGTTGGCCAGGACGGTCTCGATCTCCTGACCTTGTGATCAGCCTGCCTCGGCCTCCCAAAGTGCTGGGATTACAGGCGTGAACCACCGTGCCCGGCCTTTTTTTTTTTTTTTTTTTTTTCGAGATGGGGTCTCACTCAGACTGGAGTGCAGTGGTGCTATCACAGCTCACTACAGACTTGACCTGCTGGGCTCAAGTGATTCTCCTGCCTAAGCCTCCCAAGTAGCTGGGACTACAGGCACATGCCACCAATACCTGGCTAATTTTTTTGAAGAAATGGGATCCCGCTATGTTGCCTAGGCTGGTCTGGAACTTCTGGGCTCAAGCGATCCTTCCGCCTCAGCCTCTCAAAGTGCTGGGATTACAGGCATGAGCCAACATGCCCAGCTAGAGATGTGTGTGAATTGGTAGCTTCAAGCTAGATATTGGAGGCTCATGAAGCCCAGGTTAAAGAGGCTTGTATTCATCAGATGCGATGAAGAGCTTTGAAGTTTTTACTAGAAGTGTGATTTAAAGTGGTTGGCATGCAAAATGATTTGGAACGTTTGGGGTTTGGGGTAGGGAGAGAGAGGTTGGAAGTAGGAAACAATTAGAAGGCAAACGCTTTGGGCAAGGTATCACATTGAAACCTGAACAGCAGTGGGACTTGCTGGGGGTTGGGACAAAACTAGGCAGATGTAAGCATCTAGTGAATCTAGAGATTAGGGTGTTCTGTGACCAAGAATGAGCAGAAGACCTGCTAGGCTCAAGATTCAGGAGATTCTCAGGTCCAAAGCCAGTCCTCAGTCTCCGAAGTCAGTCAGGCAGAAGGGAAGTTGGATCAAGCTGGCCAGAGTTGAGCTCAGGAAGTCAGTGCACTTTCTCTTGTCTGGTTCCTGCATCGTTTTACTTGTGTAAAATCATCAAGATCCCTAAACCGATGTCTGAACACCAGGCTTCTAGGCAGAGCTCCACCGTGTGACCTTGGGCGCATCACTTATTTCCCCCAGGCCTCAGTTCTTCTGAAAGATGAGGGGAAGAACTCACATTCAAAGGCCCTCAGCTTTAGCGTCTTATTTTAGGTGATCTGGGCAGAAGAGTCTCACTGTGCTCCTCTCCCTTTCATATTTCCTGCTTTGGTAGGAAGTCATCTCAAGACTTGAGTGTATAGGCATGAGGAAGTCTGCTAGAGGACAGGAAGAATATTGCTTAAAGAATAAGAGCTACAGCCCTGATGGAAGGGGTAAATTGGCCTGGGAAAAGCCCTGCCTCTGCTACCTGCTTCCCAAGTGACCTTGAACTTAACTCTTTAAACCTCAGTTGCTGCATCTATAAAATGAGAATAATAGTATCTTTTTTATAGGGTTTTTTTTGTTTTGTTTGTTTGTTTTTAGACGGAATCTCCCTCTGTTGCCCAGGCTGGAGTGCAGTGGCACGATCTCGGCTCACTGCAACCTTTGCCTCCCGGGTTCAAGCGATTCTCGTGCCTCAGCCTCCTGAGTAGCTGGGATTATAGGAGTGCACCACCACGCCTAGCTAATTTTTGTATTTTTAGTAGAGATGGGGTTTTGCCATGTTGGCTAGGCTGGCCTGGAACTCCTAACCTCAAGTGATTCTCCTGCCTTGACCTCCCTAAGTGCTAGGATTACAGGTGTGAGCCAACGTGCCTGGCCAGGGTTGTTTTGAGACATGAATGAGGTGGACCTTTACAGGCACTTGGTTCAGGGCCTGACCCGTAGTGAGCATTTGATAAATGTTACCTATCTATGTTGTCATGGGCTGGGAGTGTGGGAACAGGAAGTGTCTCATGCCAGAAGCACTGTGAATTTTCTCCTTTAATCATTGCCTTCATTTTCTTTGAACCTTATTCAGATTGTCCATGCCTTTGTAATTGTAGACCCTCTAAACTATAATTAGTCCAAATAAAATGGACTCACCTTATGCCATGTTCTTGTTGAAGGGTCCTCTTTCTTTCTTTCTTTCTTTCTTTCTTTCTTTCTTTCTTTCTTTCTTTCTTTCTTTCTTTCTTTCTTTCTCTTTCTCTCCTCTTTCTGTCTCTCTCTTCTTTCTCTCTCTCTCTCTCTCTCTTTCTTTCTTTCTTTCTTTCTTTTTCTTTCTTTCTCTTTTCTTGCTCTATTGCCAGGCTGGAGTGCAGTGGTGAGATCTCGGCTCACTGCAACCTCCGCCTCTGCCTCCCAGGTTTAAGCGATTCTCCTTTCTCAGCCTTCCGAGAAGCTGGGACTACAGGCGTGCGCCACTAATTTTTGTATTTTTAGGAGAGACGGGGTTTCACCATGTTGGCCAGGATGGTCTCGATCTCTTGACCTCGTGATCCACGCTCCTCGGCCTCCCAAAGTGTTGGGATTACAGGCACGAGCCATTGCACCCGGCCAGATCTTCTTTTTTGTAACATGCTAAGTAATACAATCTCTATTTAGCTTGATGTCCACGGTGATAGCAGGATTCTTTTCGGATTTCTGCCATAGTTAATTATTCTGCATTCTTTTGTCCCTAGTGTGTCATATTGAAATTTTTCTTTTTTCTTTGTTTTTGATGACTTCTCCAGTTATTCATGCTAGTTTTGCATTCCTGTCCAAGAACATTTTTGCTGCTTGTTTATTTTTAATTTCATAAACTAAAGCGTTTGAGGTTTTAAAAACCCAGAATTGAGTTTTCTCAGAGCTGCTAATCTTTCTAGCCAGCTGGTGACGAGGCTTCTCAATTCTTGTTACAGGATGATGTGTTCTGTCCTCCTGTCTGTGCTTTGTCTAATTTAGATTCTAAATCCACATGTTTAGGACATTTTTAGCGTGTCAAAATTTATTACCAAAGTAGTGCTGACTTCAGGGAAAAATTTTTAATGGAATCTTTAGTCACTCATGTTGACACAAGGTGCTTGTCCTAGTGCAGGAATCTGTGTGGCACCACTAGGTGGTGCCAGACTGCATCATTTTTAAAGACAGCCTTTTCTCTTCCAACTCTTTTGCCACTGTTCTCTTTTTTGCTTCTTTGCCAAATTTGGACCGAGCTTTGAAAACTTCATATAAACTTTCTCTTAGTGAGTTATGTTGCTTATAGCTTTTCCCTCCACCTTGCCTGTTTTAGTCTTCTTGTTTCAATAGTTTTGATAGTTTGACATTCAGATAAAACTTAAAACTGAAGCCCAAAGTAATTACTAAATGTATCTCGACTGATCTGTGGTTTTAAATTCACCAACAGTGCATCTCCCTACTTGCTTAATCATATTGATTTTGAGATTAAATCAGTCTCATAAATATGTTAGTCTTCAGCCCACGGTAGTTCTCATCCATCTGCAGACTTTTTTTTTTTTTTTTTTTGAGATGGAGTCTAACTCTGTCACCAGGCTGGAGTACAGTGGCGCCATCTCAGCTCATGGCAATCTCTGCCTCCTGGGTTCAAGCGATTCTCTTGCCTCAGCCTCCCGAGTAGCTGGGACTACAGGTGCTTGCTACCACGCCCAGCTAATTTTTGTATTTTTAGTAGAGACAGGGTTTCACCATGTTGGCCAGGATGGTCTCGATCTCTTGATCTCGTGATCCACCCGCTTCGGTCTCCCAAAGTGCTGGGATTACATGTGCGAGCCACCACGCCCAGCCCCATCTGCAGATATTTTTACCAGTCCTATCCACTCATGCCTGTACCTTCTAATGTTATTAAAGTCAGTTTTATTATCATTGATGACCATGAGACTTAATCAAAAGGTCAAGCTAGAAACAGAGAATATTCAAAATTTCTTTCCAGGCAAACATCTGGGTTCAATAGAAGCTAGTTCACATGAATGGATCATGCTCTAGCTCTGTTGTGCTGGAGCTTTTTTGAAGGAATGCATTGTTACATACTAACCACAATTTTTACATTGTCCAGGGCAGGAGTAACCAGTTGGTTGATACTTAGTCAGGGGTTGTGTTTCGTAATCTGCTAGTTGTACTTGATGTTTAGGCATTTGAAATTTAACCTTGTGCCTTATTTGTGCTGAATTTACTATTGTTTCCTATTTGTAGTGCTCTGCAAAATTATTCTCAGTATATCACACATTTGTAATCATTGCCAATCACTGAATATCAATAACATGCTAGGTGATAAGAACTTCTATTTTTCAGCAGCATTATCATTCCCAATTTTACTACATCAGAGAGTTCATCATTATACAGTCAACTCATGATTATTAGGAGTAAGGAACGTAATAGCAGACCCTGAATGAGGGAAAAGAATGTGAAACCACACATAAACTAAAGGTGAAGTCATTTACATCCCTGAAAATGATTTTAAGATACAGAATGAGATGTTAAAGGATCAAAAGAAAATTATCGTAGCAATGAAAAATGCTACATGGTTTATACAAAGTCATGTCAAGCTCATAGACTCAGAGAGTGGTGTTAATCCTGAAGACCACTTGATGATTATGGAAGCCGAGACCCAAAGAGGTTAAGTGACTTACCCAGCACAGCGGGTTTGGGTGTTTTATAGCTGTTTGACTATATGAGCTATGATTGCTCTCATGTTGTGAGCTAAATTCCAAAGATATTGTCGTGTTTGCTTTTGTGGGGACTGTATTGCTTTCATAGCATGATGGTTGTATTGTTTCTTTTTGCTTTGTCATCTGTCAGTCAACTTTGAAGTGAATCTTCTTTGTTTACAGCATAGTAAAATATGGTGATTGCATGGCTCATAAGAGATTTACAAATGAAGAAACTGAGGCCCGGTTGAGCTGCATGGCACACCCAAGTCATAGACTTGTGTGTGGTTGAGGCAGAGAATCTAGGATACAGACCTCCCTGCTGGGTTCCTCCCGCTCCCATAACTGCTCTGCACTTCAGCGGGAAAGATGCCAGAAACTGCAAGCATAAGGCCTTTTTTTCCCCTAAAAAACTGTAATTCATTTGGTTTTGAAAGACTTACCAGAGTTTAAAAGCTCCATTTTGTGGCTTCCCAAGGTGCTGTGATTTGTTTCTTACTAGTCTCCTTTGTTCTGTGGAAAATTTTCTTCTTTGGTTGTTTGAGATTTAGATTTCCTTGCCAAGGTATTTTTAGAGAGAGGAAATCAGTATGTTTCACCAAAGGGGTAAAATATATACCTTAAGGCCTAATTATGCAATTACATTTTTAATAACGAGTGTCATAAATTCTTGCTTCATTGCAATCATTAATTGGAAGACTGTTCTGCTCAGAAGCCTCATCTAGTTATCATGATTATCATCAACATCGTCAACCAACCACAAGCATCAAGCATTTATGGAGTATCCACAGATTATGCAGCACTTGCCAGGGTTCTGGGAGACTTAATCTGTGTGTGTGTGTGTGTGTGTGTGTGTGTGTGTGTGTGTGTGTGTACACCCTTGCCTTCAAGGAGTTTGTGATCTGCAGAACTGGAGGAAAGACAGAAAACTTGGGGAAAGACAAGTACCTCATTTTTCAATATGTGTAAAGCCCATACTGATTCATGTATGTGGCATTGGGGGACATGGACAGCAGGGAGACAAAGGGATAGATCTTAGAAAGGTCTAGTTACAAATAAATGGAAGCACATAAGTTTGCTGACATGGGAGGACATAGGCTGGGTTGTAATAAGGTAGGGTAATTGGTTGAAGGAGGGAGGAAGAAATTGGTGAAGAGTTGAAGGCAGTAATTAAATAGATTTGGCATAATAACAGAGATGATTGGAGAACTGGGAGAAGAAAATTACTTGCTGTAGTTGATTATGGCAGAAACTGACAGGGCAAGAGATTACAGTTGGGATTTTTTGCAAAGAGGAGCTTTCAAGTTTGTGACATCTTTTTTTTTTTTTTTTTTTTTTTGAGATAGTCTTGCTCTGTCACCCTAGCTGGAGTGCAGTGGCGTGATCTTGGTTTACTGCAACCTCTGCCTCCCAAGTTCAAGCGATTCTCCTGCCTCAGCTTCCCAAGTAGCTGGGACTACAGGTATGCGCCACCACGCCCAACTAGTTTTTGTATTTTTAGTAGAGACGGGGTTTCACCATGTTGGCCAGGCTGGTCTCGAACTCCTGACCTCAGGTGATCCACCTGTCTCGGCCTCCCAAAGTGCTGGAGTTACAGGCATGAGCCACTGCGCCTGGCCTCCAAGTTTGTGAGATCTTGCCCAGATTTAAATGAAGGATGTGGGGTTCAGGATTGGTACAGCAGAGGAAAAAAGTCTCTCTCTCTCCCCACTCCCCTCTTTTTGCTGTGATCTATTTTTTTTCCCACACTTTTCACAGGTGTTGTCCTGTGATCTATTTCTATTTGGTGGATCTCTTTTCCCCTCATGTTGAGAATAATGGCTGAGGTGTGGTGTATCCTTTAATTTTGAAAGGAAACGGCATGATGGTTTTGCGGTTTAATCATGAGACACAAGAACAGCTTTTGTTGTGTGGTGATACCATACCCTGAATTGAGATTATCAGTGTCAGACATATATTACTGCACTTTTTTATCTTCTTCGCTTAATCAAAATAGATTTTAATGGAATTTATTATTCACTTACTGTACAGTAAAATTACTTTTATAACTTTCCATTGTGTTTTTCTTGTAAATTGAGGTATTTGGCCTCTATTTTTCAAAACAGACAAAAGTTGTATTCAGGTTAGGTTTGGATCTGGTATATTAGCATCTTAAATTCTCAAGTCTCCTATAAACCTGTTCTCTTAGGCCAGCTATGGCTGCAGAAGTCAGTTATAGATAAACATTGAGAGGGGAGATCACATCATCCTTTGTTTTCCATTTCTGAAATAACGGCAGACACGTGGCACATGTCCTGAGCCTGGGGTGGTGCCGTTCCTTTTGTTGCTCTATCTGTATGGGAGCTAACCTTTTGACAATTTTTATGGCAAATGCTAGGGCAGCTTGTGAGCTAATTAGAAGAAACTGATAAGTGAATGCTGAGTTTGTCGATTCTCTTTCATTTTCTGCAGAGGAGACAGCCGTTGAAACGGCATTCTTCGTGTGGCTGATAATTTAGCCCACCAGACCCCTATGAAAGGGAATATTGCTTCTCTCTTAGCTTTTTCCACATTTTAGTATTCTCTTTAAAGCCAACATTTCTCCATAGGTTCTAATACCTAGGCATTTCATATATAGTAGCCAAATTCAGTTCACTTTCTTCAAGAAAGTTGTCCTTTTCAAACTGTGGCCTTTTCCTGTCATGGGTCTGGTTTCTTACTCACCCCGCACTGTTGTATCAGCAGGTACTAGGATTTGATTGCTGATGACTGTATGTCCCAAAGAAAACAGTGGGAGAAATGCAGCTGTCAAAGCAAAAAACAAATAGCAGTTTTAAGGTTGAGTCTCAACCTGGCCAGTTGCAAGATGGCTGTTCAGTAGATGTTATTCCTAATGCTTCCCTGGTTAATAGAACTCAATCAGTCCTGCAGGTTATTGGTGCTGGTTGCTTCCTATAACAGAAAAGTACTGCATTCCAGCTACGTTCCTGCTGTGGAACATAAGTGCTTAGTGCTATTTACTTAAAACATTCTAGGTTGATAAATTACAAGCCCTTCACTCTGGGTAAAGCTCATAAATCCAGCTCCTACAAAAAAAATAGCAAGCTGATAGCACTTAGTCCTGTTTATA
Source organism: Homo sapiens (assembly GCF_000001405.40). Taxonomy (NCBI): domain Eukaryota; kingdom Metazoa; phylum Chordata; class Mammalia; order Primates; family Hominidae; genus Homo; species Homo sapiens. The sequence goes on from NC_000022.11 coordinate 29,630,421, forward strand.
AAGTTCATACACATCTATCCATGATATAGGCACAAGTATATATCTATGAAATAGCACTGCAGCCTGTTAAAGTAATGGGTGAGCACAGCCACAAAGGCGAGAAGCATCCGACTTCCAGACTCCTCCTATTAGTCTCTATGCCTGAAGGGCACCTTGAGGAGGAGGTCTGTGGAAGGGAGCTTCCAGGCATTGGAGTCCACATTTGTGCTCCTTTCTCTCTTTCTTCTTCCCGCAAGTCACCTTTCTCACGCCCTCCACCTCTCTCTTTCCTTCTGCAAAATGAGCATCTGCCTCTTAGCCTCCCTCTTCGTCACTAGGCTGAGATGAGGCAGGGAACCGTGGTGGATCCAGAGCAGTTTGAACACTTTGGCTGCGTGGAAAGCGATGGGGTTAAATGAGCATTTAATCAGAACCAGGAGCTGTTCTTTTGGCAACCTGTTGAGGAAAAATGATAAACCCTAACAAAAAGGCCCTCAAGTGGCACGAGTGCAGGGCCTGAAAGCGTTACGTGCCATCAGTTATCCAAAAAGAACATTTTTTAACCAGAAAATAAACATGAGACTCATCCCACTAGTCCTAGGTTCTTGGAGCCCCACAGGTATTGTTGCAGGATGCATCATTGCTTCGAATCAGTGACTGAACAACCCAGTTCCTAATCAGCGTGGAGAGTCAGAATTGTCACACGCACTGGGCTGAAGCTGCATATTCAGTACTGCATTGAACATTCAGTACTGCAGATAGGATAATTATGCTGTTTGTCAGATACTAGAAAAGTGCAAAGAACATTCCTTCACTTTGCAACAGCTTGGACCCAAGTGGCAGACCTGCTGTTCCCTCAGGCTGGCGTGACCTCCCTATTGTCAGCCCCTTCACCACAGCTCAACTACCCCCCTGGCTTTCAAGATACAGCTCAAACAGCATCTCTCCTCAGGAAAGACCTTACTCCCGGAGACCCAGGCCCGAGTTGTGTTGCCACTGTACCCTGTTCTGTTAGCACTTACCAGGTTGCATTTTTGTGATCCATTTACCTGTCTTCCCTGTCAGACATGAACAGGGACAGTGTCTTGTCCTCAATTCATCATTTTTCTCCTGTTTTGAGCACAATGACCAGGACGTAGTGGATGCTCAATAAAGGTTTGTCAAATGACTGATAGTATGGTTAGCTCAGTGAGAATTGATGGTGCCCTTTGTGATCTGTCATCCATCATCCTTGGTGTGAAGCAGGGCTGGGAGGCTTTAAACAGTGCCACTTGAGAATCTAAGGAGAGGTGGCAGAGTTACAATTAACAATAACTACCCCTTACTGAGTATTTATTTGCTATGGGCCAAGCACTCTCTTAGGGTTTTTAAATGAATCAATGCACTTAATCCTTAGATCAATCTGCTAAGACGAGTTCTGTTTATTATCCCCTTTGCAAAGCACAAGGAAGTTCAGTCACTTGCCCAAGGTCACACAGTGACAGTGCAGAGATTCATACCAATGGAGACAACCATCACTTATCTATATTCCTTTTAGACTAGTTCCTGGAAAGATTAAGCCCTCATGTCCTGAGGCATCCATCTTAGGTAACAATTTAACTTCTCTCTTGTTTCTAGAATGGTATTAGTGTGTTCCCTACTTGGGAGAATGGAGAAAATGGTCACCAGATAACTTTCTGTGTTTTTTGGTTCAGATGAGATAGGTAGAGTTAGTTGACAAAGAATTGATTTTATGTATTTATTTTTATTTTGTTTTTTTTGTTCTTGATTTTAGATGGTAGTTTCGGTCCTTTTGGAAACATAGCATTATCCTCCAGCCAGACTGAACTATCCTACTCCCATTTCCTGTAAGGACGACTGACCTCTTTTTTGCCTCTAGACTTGTGCATATGCTATTCCCTCTGCCTGGAACATACTTACCTGCTTGCTCCTCTTTCCCCAAGCCCAGTCTTCACTTGGTTCCTCTTTTCTACCATGAGCCAGTTTAGATGTCATTTCCCTACCTGCCCAGGATAGGAGGTTCCCACAGCCGCTGGGTGTCCTGTTGTGGCACTCACAAGTGTTATAGTGCTGAAAGCCCACTCCTGGGGTTTTTATGTGTGCGATGAAGGAGGTGATTATCTTTTCCCAGCTAGTTCATATCCTAGTCCTCTGAGTGTAGAGACTTGTTTCTTTTTCCCCATTTGTCCCCTGCACCTTGGGCGGTGCTTGGACACAATGTGTGTGTTCACTAACTATTTGTGGAAGAGGTGGGTGAGCGGGAGTTAACTGGCTTTAAGTCTTTGAGTTTTGGGTTTTTGAAGTAGTCAAGTCCGTCCACAGTCCGTCCTGTGGACAGCCATTGTTTGCCATGTCTTGTATGTACACACTTGCCTGGGCACTGTGGGGAGCAGAAAGAGGACTAATACTGCCCTTGTGCTGAGGCACCTACAGTCTCGGGAGATGTTCAGAGGACAGTGAGTCACTTCACAGCATCAGCATGGTATAGTGGATGAGTGATGACACTGAAGATGAGCTTGGTCATATTCTGGCAAGTTGGCTGACACCTGGAAGTCCCGTCCACACCCCAAGACCTCTTTTCCCAGGGTGTCCTGAGAACCACCCAGAGCAACTGTGACCAATGGCGCTTGTTTTTAAAGAAGTAGAAACCCAAATTAGGAAGACTGAGCAAACCTCATGCATTTGGGGAAGGGCTTGTTGGAAAGTGGAACCTGATGTAGGTAGCAACATGTTGAGGTTAGATTTAACCAAACAGAAAGACTTCTTAATTGCTTAAAGACAAAATTTTATTTTATAAGTGGAATTAGGGCTTTAAATCAAATATGTTTGAACGTCTTTACTTGGTTTCCTCAGGCACCTTCACTCATCTTGTCTAAAACTTAATTGCTGGTCTATCCCTGCCAGATTTGCTGCTTCTCCTTGATTCCATCTCTCCTTTAGTGGAACCACCTGGTACTCAAGCCAGACACACAGGTGTCCCTCTTAATTCTGTCTCCTCTGGTCCTGTTCAGGCACCTGTTCTGTGACTCTGCCTCTTTTCCGTTTCTCAGGCTGCCTTCTCTCCCTTCTACTGCCTTCCTTATGTCAGGGGTTGGCCTACTTTCTGGCCTTCTTGATCCAGGGCTTCTTTTGTTCAACTCATACTCCACCCTGTTGTCAGAGCCCATCCAGATTGCAGATTGGAGCCTATGACTCGTCTGCTCAAGGGTCTTCAAAGACTTTGCAGCTTTTGGCTGAAGTTGAGCCACCTGGTCCCAAATGGAGCCCCATTCCCGCCATGCCACCTCCTGTCTGTTTAAGCTTTACAAGATGACTTGCAGTTTCCTGTAGAAAGCATGACTTTTAAAAAAAGACTTATTTCCTTCTCTCCTGCATCTAACTCTCACTTGCTCTTTAAAGCCTTCTCTGACCTAGGTCTTGCCTGTTTCTCCTGCAGAACACTGCTTCCACCATTTTGTAGCATCAGTGTCTAACATTGGTTGGCATGTAGGGTGTGCTCTATAATCCTTGTTGAAAGAATAAGTGGGAGGTAACAGAGGCTTAATTCACATTGAGCTGTAAACGAGCAATATCTGACTCTTCTGAGAATGGATTTTGTTTCAAACACTGGTTACTTACTGGAAAAGGTGTCTGGGGAGTGCTGGACAGCAAGAACAAAGGGACCCCACAGAACAGGAAAAGAGGCACTCTAGGGTCTGCGGTTTGCCTATGTTAGATCACCGTGAAAAAGGCCAGTGTATGCTTTGGCAGCTGGCAAAGAATCCTGTGACTCAGTTTCCTTATTTGCACAAAAAGGGTATGAGTCTACATTAGGTAATTACTCATGCTCATTTCCAACTCTTGACAGTCTACGATCCTTTGTGTCAAAGTTAAAAATCTAAGTAGGGCATTCTGAATTGGTGTCAGAGTTGATGCACTTCTCACTGTATTGCAAGTGCCAAGGGGACAAATACATTGTCTTTTTGCATTCAACAAAGACAGTTTTGCATTTTAAAAACAAAGTAGAAGGGAATACAGGAAAACTGCATTAATACAATTTTATGCTGGAGAATTTAAACTCCCATGTCAGGAAATTCACTCATCATTCCCTTGGCAGCTTTTGTTTCTCTGCACTGCACACCCCACTTACAGACAGCCCCTTCTTGCCAAAGCCCAGCCCAGCCATGACCATGAGTTATGGCAGATTGGGAATCGTTACCTTGATCTTCTCAACCCTTGGGTGTTTACCTTTTCCAAGTTAATGCCTGTTCTTTAATGTTACATTATCTTGTAGCAAGGTAGTCATTTATAATTTATATACTAGAGCTGCCTTAAAATAGAGACAAGAGGATAATCAGCATCCTGAAACTTCTAGTTTTCCAAAATAACATTTCTTCAGTGAAGTCTGCCTGTAGGAATTAAAACTTTTGGTGAATTAAAAAGCTTTTTGTCCTATTGTCAGACTGGGAAATGGATGTGCCCATTACTCAGCCTTAAAAACGAGGAAGGAGATCATCTGTTAAAAATAAAACTCATCATTTTCTTTTATTCTTCTCAAAATAATCCCTAAAGACCTCAATCTTTATAGTGTTCCAGTGGCCCCACTATAGTCAGAGAGGAGACAGGGCAGAAGTTGAAGGACAGATAGGAGAAACGGCCCTGCTAAAAGATAAAAGCCAGTATGCATCTCAGCTACTTGTCTGCTGTGGTCCTGATATTCTTCCATCTAGGTTGCTGCTTTGCTTGACTTTGACTGCAAACACAGAGAAGGGATGGGCTTTCCTGTTGAGTACCTTGTAGAGAACCCACTGTTCATTCATATGTGTTAAAAATGAAAAGCCTACTTGAAAACTCCCCTGTAGAATCAGGTTTTAGCAAAAACCAATCAGGTATCAGAGGTCTAACTTATTTTTCCCTTCTTGGTTTTATAGCAAGTCTCTAAACCCTAAGATTTTTTGTTTGTTTGTTTGAGATGGAGTCTTGCTTTGTCGCCAGGCTGGAGTGCAGTGGCATGATCTCGGCTCACTGCAACCTCCGCCTCCCGGTTTCGAGTGATTCCCCTGCCTCAGCCTCCCGAGTAGCTGGGACTACAGGCATGCGCTACCACACCTGGCTAATTTTTTAGTATTTTACTAGAGACAGGGTTTCACCATGTTGGCCAGGATGGTCTCGATCTCCTGACCTCATGATTCGCCTGCCTCAGCCTCCCAAAGTGCTGGGATTACAGGTGTGAACCACCACGCCCGGCTGCCTAAGAATTTTTTTCATTCCTTTTCATTATATACATCTTCAGTGTGCCAAGACTTTGAGTGGAGATTTCTAATGAGGGCAGGAAGGGACGGATGCTTCTGCAATTGAGTGGTCTCATTTTTCCCATGTCTGTCGAAAGATTACTCTTTCATGACCACCATTTCTATGATGCATCTCATATGATCCTAATGCACTCGAGTTTGTATTTGAATGTCCATCTGATATTTAGGGGTGGTTGGGGCAAGGAGGGGGCAAGCAGCAACTAAGGGGTTGTATGGGAACATCCTGGTGGTTTAACTTGAAAGCCACTAGGTGGCAACATTTACTAAGTTGCCAGCCATTCTCTTCCCTTAAGACATTGAACTTGCTTTTCCACATAGCAGATGGAATAGCTGAGAAAAGAGATTGCCATTGCTTCAGGTTCTTTTGAAAGTGAGGCTATAGGATAAACACACTACAGTATATTGATATCTATTCGTCACCTGGGTTTAGATACCAGGAGTTTGAATTTGCTCTGGGTGACTGGGTGAGTAGCTTCCCCTTTGGCCTCAGTTAGGCATCCTTGACAGGACAGACCTGTGATTGGACTGTCTGGTCTCTCATGGTTCTTTTTCTCCATGATTTATGACTTTGATTATGATTTCTTTATATTAAAAAAAAACTTGTAGTAAAACCAGTCTTATTTAAAGGAATACTAGCCTTTTATCAAAGGGCAAAGTAATGATTTAAAAAAAAAATCAACAACAAAATTTCAAGGGAATGAATGTCCCTAGAAGCTAGCCATCTCCCCGAGTTAACTTAAGAGGCTAGACTCTCCTAAATGAGGATGCTTATTTACCAGCTTTCCTAAATTAGCAGCTTTGGAGATGTTAAAATCCGTAAGGAACTGTCCAAGGGATGTATTGTGTATGCTTTGCAGTGATTAAGCCATTAAGCTCTAATTGGTATTTTCCCACTCATGGGTTTGTAAAGGAAGCTTTAAAATTATTTAGGAATTCAGTCCTCATCAGCTGTCTTAGTGTCATCCCCACGTTTTGGAACCTGAGAGTGGAGAGTGCAGAGAAAAGGTTTTATTAATGATTTTTGCTCACAGTGTCCTTCCCCATTGGTTTGTTATTGCAGATGAAGTGGAAAGGGAAGGACCTCTTTGATTTGGTGTGCCGGACTCTGGGGCTCCGAGAAACCTGGTTCTTTGGACTGCAGTACACAATCAAGGACACAGTGGCCTGGCTCAAAATGGACAAGAAGGTTGGGCTAGAACTCGATGAAACTGGTGGGGCTGACGTGAGCTTTCCAGTTTTTCCCTGAGCAGGCGCCTAGCTCATCACTGGGGCGCTGTAGCTGTATAGTAGAGAAGGGGGCACATTCCTGAATTAAGTCATGCAGAAAGCAGGACGTAGAGATGCTACCAGTTTCCTTCTCCTCACAGGCTCTCCTGGGCAAGCAGAAGTTACCAGGATTAGACTGCTGCTGGCCCTGGCTTCTTTACCCATTGTTACCAGCCTGATTGCTTCTGGCTTTATGCCTTTCAGTTTATGAATAAAAACTTCATGAATAAAAATTACTGTTATCTTCATATACTTAAAAATAACCAATTTGTGTCTTTTAGAGAGTATTGGGGCTTGTGTTCTTTAGGGAATTTTTTAAAGTCTTTTTGAGGAACACCATAGTCTGACATGAAGTAATCATTAATATGATCTAAGGAATAGAGAGTGCCTGGTCCCCAGGGTGAAAGAATGTCCATTTTGTCCTCAGGATTCTCTGGGGCTTCTGACACATGGCCAAGAAAGCTGGGCTCCTGGCAATTTTAATGTGGCTTGGAAATGAATATTGCCTAAAGGAACTGCCCTCTGCATGGGTTCATATGTTCACACAAGGATACACTTGCTTACTGACCTGCCTACCTAGCCATGAAAGGCAGGCGGGGAGCAGGACCATATGCTTTTGTCAGTAACTCCTAAAAGACACCTGAACTTCAAAGTAAGTCAATGTCTAATTCTTACCCCAAATGATGCCCCCTCCAGTTGCCTACCTGAGCATAATAAATAATGAAAGCTTCCTATTTTTTTTTTTTTTACCAGTTTGACTCAAAGCTTAAGTGTTCGAATTGTGTTCACATATGTACACAGTAATCTAAATAATCACATGGGAATCCCTGCTGGTTGTAAGTTCAATGGTAATTCCCAATGATCATGAGCATCTAAGTGCCACTGGGGGCCACTGTCAGTGAGGGTGTCGTAGACCAGATTTTGAATCTCCTTGGCATTGCCATCTAGAATTTGGGCAGGAGCATGGAGAGTTATGTGTCAAAGACAGCAAAACTTTTTGTATGTTTTTCATGATTCTTAGCAAAGTGAATTTTAATGATAGCTGAGTGTAGGCCAAATGGATATTAGACTGGGGGCATCAGGAGCCGTGGAACTTGCTGCTCAAGGGAAATACATCATGACACATGTTAATGGAGCCTTGTAGCCTGTCACATGGCGTGTTTATGTCTTGAAATTCACTCTGGAGAGCAGATGGTTCAAGCTTTACAGGGGTGAATGGAATTGTTAGAAGATTTAAAGGCAGTGGTTTACAGACTGTGCTTCAAGTATTTTGTGGGGCATCTCTGGAGGTTCCTTGAAACAAAGGGTTGCCATGATGGACACATTTTATTCTGTTGCTCAGTTAATGTTTAGATGACTTCATAATGATCTAGTTCATCATCTCTAAGCTGTATTTTTTTTTTTTTTTTTTAAGACAGAGTTTTGCTCTTGTTGCCCAGGCTGCAGTACAATGACGCAGTCTCGGCTCACTGCAACCTCTACCTCCTGGGTTCAAGAGATTCTCCTGCCTCAGCCTCCCGAGTAGCTGGAATTACAGGTGTCCACCACCACACCTGGCTAATTTTTTGTATTTTTAGTAGAGATGGGGTTTCACCATGTTGGCCAGGCTGGTCTTGAACTCCTGACCTCAGGTGATCCACCCGCTGTGGCCTCCCAGCGTGCTGGGATTATAGGTGTGAGCCACCACGCCCAGCGCTCTAAGCCGTATTCTATCACGGACCTAAATATTGGCAGTAGGCACCAAGAAAAAAGAAATAAAGGAAGATTCCACTACTTCAGATAATTAAAAAACCTTCCACCTACCATAAAGGACAGTGTCCAAGACTGCTGAGTGATACATTTCTAGTTTTTAACTATTCTGTGGCCCTGAGAACATTTATGCCTTAATCCTAGCTCTGCTCACTTCTTGGGGCTATTGATTAATTTGTTTCAGAAACACCATAGGAAGTGAATATTACCTCTTGCTATAGGTGACTTTGTGAATACTTCAAACTGTAAAATCACAACTTTCAGGAAATGTGATAAATTTAGTGGGAAAAAAATTTAATGCACGCCTTGCAAAGGCTTCTTTGAGGGTAGCACAGGAGGAAGTGCCAATATAGTGTGTTTGTCTTTTGCTCTGCAATTCTGCAGGTACTGGATCATGATGTTTCAAAGGAAGAACCAGTCACCTTTCACTTCTTGGCCAAATTTTATCCTGAGAATGCTGAAGAGGAGCTGGTTCAGGAGATCACACAACATTTATTCTTCTTACAGGTACATCAGTCAAGGCTACCCCCCAGTTCTGAGAGAACTTGCCCAGGAGTGGTTGCAGAGTTGGCCTCAGAGTTGACCACAAACACCTTTGTATTGCAAAAATATTCTACCTCTGGAAGGTCAGCCCCTTTGGTTCTGTAATGGAAAAAAGGCTTCAGAACAGAACTATACTTGAGTGATGAAAATTGGTGTCAGATGAAATTGTGAAGGTGTGATGGTGAAGAATGGATACAAGTAGCTACCTAACTTAAAACCTCCTTGAAAATGGGTCCTATTTTCTTCTAGCTAACTTAAAAGTACTCAATAGTTTCAAAGGAAGGCTAAAGAGAGAGTCTTATAAAGCAGTAGTTCTTCCAAAAGTTTAAAATCTGCTCTCATTAAGAGAGGACTGGCCGGGCATGGTGGCTCAGGCCTGTAATCCCAGCACTTTAGGAGGCCGAGGCGGGCAGATCACAAGGTCAGGAGATCGAGACCATCTGGCTAACATGGTGAAACCCCGTCTCTACTAAATATACAAAAATTAGCCGGGTGTGGTGGCAGGTGCCTGTAGTCCCAGCTACTCGGGAGGCTGAGGCAGGAGAATCACTTGAACCTGGAAGATGGAGGTTGCAGTGAGCCAAGATCGCGCCACTGCACTCCAGCTTGGGCAACAGAGTGAGGTTCCGTCTCAAAAAAAAAAAAAAAAAAAAAAAAAAGGACTTCAGCCGGGCGGGTTGGCTCACCCCTGTAATCCCAGCACTTTGGGAGGCTGAGGCGGGCAGATCACGAGGTCAGGAGTTCAAGACCAGCCTGACCAACATGGTGAAACTCCATGTCTACTAAAAATACAAAAATTAGCCAGGCATGGTGATGCATGCCTGTAATCCCAGCTACTCAGGAGGCTGAGGCAGGAGAATCACTTGAACCCAGGAGGCGGAGGTTGCAGTGAGCCAAAATTGAGTCACTTCACTCTAGCCTGGGTGACAGAGTGAGACTCTGTCTTAAAAAAAAAAAAAAAAAAAAAAAAAGAGGACTTCAGAGCTCTAGTGACACTTGGTTTGTCCCCCATATGTGGTACTTCAGACATCGTGCTTCATGCTATGCTGTGTCTCTAATTGTCCTATTTCTTCCTTAATTCCTCATTAGATTGTAAGCCCCTTAAAGGCAAGCCTCATTAAGTACACAGTAGGCATTCCATAAGTAATTGTCCCACCGAATTGAAGAAATTAAGAAATTCACAATTACAGGTTGACCATCCAGAGGCACAGGGAGGGGAACTGGTCTGAGGATGAAAACCTTATCAGTTTCACTTATGTTCTTACTGCAGGTCAGAGTGGCTCCCCAGTTTCATGGCCAGTTGCAGTGATTGGCACTGGGGCTATTTGTGTGCTCAAAGGTTTCAGTAATGTAAAAGATGGCAGTAGGGGCATTAATTACATGATTTCCCAGAGATAGTTGGGTAGTCTGTCACATAGCCCTCCTGTAATTAATTTCAGCCTCAGTATATTGTGGTCAGCAAATATTAAGTTAAATATAATAAAACCCCCTAAATTCTTTTTAAAAAAGGTCTGGGGGGCGTGTGTGTGTGTGTGTGTGTGTGCACGCGCAAAAGAGGTGACAAATTTATTTCTGATGTTTGCAGATCAAAGGGACACTCTTAGGCTGGGCGTGGTGGCTCATGCCTGTAATCCCAGCAATTTGGGAGGCCGAGGCGGGTGGATCACCTGAGGTCAGGAGTTTGAGACCACCCTGACCAACATGGAGAAACCCCGTCCCTACTAAAAATACAAAATTAGCCGGGCATGGTGGCACATGCCTGTAATCCCAGCTACTTGGGAGACTGAGGCAGGGGAATCACTTGAACCCGGGAGGTGGAGGTTGCAGTGAGCCGAGATTGCGCCATTGCACTCCAGCCTGGGCAACCAGAGTGAAACTCCTTCTCAAAAGAAAAGGGATGTTCTTGCAGTTTTTCTATAGCGTTGCTTTTTCCCCCCTCTCTTTGGAAATGAAACCAAGGGATTAGAAAGTTGCACTGCTTGAGAAACATCTCAGGTTTCATTTTCTCTCTAAGAATGTAAAATCACTTTTAAAACCTAAGAAGAATTTTTGTGTTTGAACGTAAACACCTAACAATCTCCTAGGTCCCAGAATGTCCTAATGTTATAGAAATGGCTTTCTTGTAAGTACTTGGAAGCACTGCCTGTCTCTTGTGTGACTGACTTGATTTTCCCCATACTGAAATGTTAAGGCATTTTTATGACTGAGCAAGGCAAAATTTACTGCTTTTATGAATCCGGTGACTGTTGACATCTGTGAGAGGAGAGCTGGCTTTCCTGCTGTGTTTATTTCAGTGTCCCCCTGCCACGTCATGCAGTTGTCTTGCTTCTGTGTCTGGAACATCCCAAGTTGCACCATTCTAAGAAAATTAAGTGCAATGAAATATGTTAATTCAACATTATGGCTTAAGAATTATATTTCCTGGACCTCACGTGTACTTAAAAGTTGAATCGATCAAATTTTATTGCTTCCTTTTCCCTTAGAGCAGCACGTTGAGAGTGATGGTTTTTTCTGCAATCATAACTCAGTGGCCTTGGTGACTTTTGTCTTGTGTTAATACTTAAAAGTAGATCCATTTCCTCTGGGGCCATGCATATTCAAAGGGGCTGAGGCTGTAGTCATCCCCAGAGCTGCTCTTGACACTTCTTGAGTTCATAGCGCTCTGTCACACAGCCTCTGTTGTAACTACAGAGACCGTTTTTACTCTTCAGCATTGATCATGAAGAGAAGAGATAAGGGGTTTTTATGCATAGCCGTCATACCAGTAACTTCTGTGACTGAACTCTCCACCTGTCTGCATCAGTAAAAAAAAAATTGTACCCTTTGTCAGAAAATTATTAACAGGCTGCTCTGGCAGCCCTCATTAGAACGCCGTGAGGCCATCTGTTGTGATCAGCCTACACACCTCACTTCCACTCACAGAGTATCATGTCTCCCTTGTTGCTCCTTTCAGGTAAAGAAGCAGATTTTAGATGAAAAGATCTACTGCCCTCCTGAGGCTTCTGTGCTCCTGGCTTCTTACGCCGTCCAGGCCAAGGTAGGCTCAAAGAAGAAAAATGTATTTTTCCTGGGCGTTAATTTGGGTCATGGGATCACTCCTATCTTCTCTTTCTTTGGGTTTTCTGTACTTCAGAGAGACTTGCCCCAGAAAGTGAGATGTTATGGGACTTGTGGACTTGAAGAACCACTGTCACTGTTCCAGTGTTTGTATAATCTTGTGTGTGTATGTGTGTGTGTGTGTATGTGTGTGTGTGGTGTGCAGAAATTATAAGTATCGTTCTAATGAATTAGAATTCATTCTAAGTGAATTCATTCAGAAAGATGAATTTCCTGTGTAATCTCATTATGTACATGTGGTTTATGACATTTACTGGAAAAACCTTTTTTCTTTTTTTTTTTTAAACCATAAACTCAACCATGTGGTACAACCTTTCTATTAGCCAGGAAAAATGAATTTATGGTCTCCAATTTTAGCCAAACATGGCCTTTAGGTCAGAAAGGCCCAGGTCCTCACTCCAAACTCATTTGCAAACAAGCTGCCTTGTGTGTGGACACTACACTACACCTTCAGAGAATGCCCTGCTTCATCTGCCCCTGATTGACATGCTAGCTGTTCATGTGGCTAAGCACTGCAGGTGCTGTGGCCCACCAAGCCCACTTGAGCTGTCTGGTTAGCTGAAAATCGTTCACTTCCGTTAAATCACTATAGACCTTTTTTTTTTTTTTACAAGACCGATGAGAGGGTTAGCCACGGAGTTTCATGTCCCTCAGATTTTTCACTTCAGTCATATATCACCTTCTCTTGGTTCCCCTGATCCCTGCCTTTCACCAGAGCACAAGATGTTGTCCCCAGAATTGGGGCTCCTTGATTACTTGTGTGATTTTATTTTATTTATGTTTTATTTGTATTTTTATAGAGATGGGGTCTCACTATGTTGTCCAGGCTGGTCTTGAACTCCTGAGCTCAAGTGATCCTTCCACCTTGGCCTCCCAAAGTGCTGGGATTACAGGTCTGAGTCACCATGCCTGGTCTTACTTGTGTGATTTTTTTTTTTTTTTTTATTGATCATTCTTGGGTGTTTCTCACAGAGGGGGCTTTGGCAGGGTCATAGGACAATAGTGGAGGGAAGGTCAGCAGATAAACAAGTGAACAAAGGTCTCTGGTTTTCCTAGGCAGAGGACCCTGCGGACTTCCGCAGCGTTTGTGTCCCTGGGTACTTGAGATTAGGGAGTGGTGATGACTCTTAATGAGCATGCTGCCTTCAAGCATCTGTTTAACAAAGCACATCTTGCACCGCCCTTAATCCATTTAACCCTGAGTGGACATAGCACATGTTTCAGAGAGCACAGGGTTGGGGGTAAGGTCACAGATCAACAGGATCCCAAGGCAGAAGAATTTTTCTTAGTACAGAACAAAATGAAAAGTCTCCCGTGTCTACTTCTTTCTACACAGACACGGCAACCATCCGATTTCTCAATCTTTTCCCCACCTTTCCCCCCTTTCTATTCCACAAAGCCGCCATTGTCATCCTGGCCCGTTCTCAATGAGCTGTTGGGCACACCTCCCAGACGGGGTGGTGGCCGGGCAGAGGGGCTCCTTACTTCCCAGTAGGGGCGGCCGGGCAGAGGCGCCCCTCACCTCCCGGATGGGGCGGCTGGCCGGGCGGGGGGCTGACCCCCCAACCTCCCTCCCGGACGGGGCGGCTGGCCTGGCGGGGGGCTGACCCCCCCACCTCCCTCCCGGACGGGGCGGCTGGCCTGGCCGGGGGGCTGACCCCCCCACCTCCCTCCCGGACGGGGTGGCTGCCGGGCGGAGACGCTCCTCACTTCCCAGACGGGGTGGCTGCCGGGCGGAGGGGCTCCTCACTTCTCATATGGGGCGGCTGCCTGGCGGAGGAGCTCCTCACTTCACAGACGGGGCGGTTGCCAGGCAGAGGGTCTCCTCACTTCTCAGACGGGGCGGCCGGGCAGAGATGCTCCTCACCTCCCAGACGGGGTGGCGGCCGGGCAGAGGCGCTCCTCACATCCCAGACGGGGCGGCGGGGCAGAGGCGCTCCCCACATCCCAGACGATGGGCGGCCGGGCAGAGACGCTCCTCACTTCCTAGATGTGATGGCGGCCGGGAAGAGGCGCTCCTCACTTCCCAGATGGGATGGCGGCTGGGCAGAGACGCTCCTCACTTTCCAGACTGGGCAGCCAGGCAGAGGGGCTCCTCACATCCCAGACGATGGGCGGCCAGGCAGAGACGCTCCTCACTTCCCAGACGGGGTGGCGGCCGGGCAGAGGCTGCAATCTCGGCACTTTGGGAGGCCAAGGCAGGCGGCTGGGAGGTGGAGGTTGTAGCGAGCCGAGATCACGCCACTGCACTCCAGCCTGGGCACCATTGAGCACTGAGTGAACGAGACTCCGTCTGCAATCCCGGCACCTCGGGAGGCCGAGGCTGGCGGATCACTCGCGGTTAGGAGCTGGAGACCGGCCCGGCCAACACAGCGAAACCCCGTCTCCACCAAAAAAATACGAAAACCCGTCAGGCGTGGTGGCGCGCGCCTGCAATTGCAGGCACTCGGCAGGCTGAGGCAGGAGAATCAGGCAGGGAGGTTGCAGTGAGCCGAGATGGCAGCAGTATAGTCCAGCTTTGGCTCGGCATGAGAGGGAGACCGTGGAAAGAGAGGGAGAGGGAGACCATGGGGAGAGGGAGACCATGGGGAGAGGGAGAGGGAGAGGGCACTTGTGTGATTTTAAAACATAATCTTTTCACTTATTTTTCTTTTTAATTAAAGGTGTTCATGAAGCCATTTCCCTTAAGGTTAGAAAAAATAATAAAATACTCTTAACTCACTTTTTGGGGTAGATTAATGCAATTTCAGATCAAAGCCAGGAAGTAACTGTCATTTGTGGGGAAAAAAGGCTATACATGCTAGTCAGACCAATAGAAGCACCAAAGTCAATTTAATCATTTGATGGCTCATGTAATATTTGCTGAGTATTCATCAGGCCCAGGGTGGGGAGAGAGCATGAGAGTTGTTGACCATCTCATAGTTGCAGGCACTAAAGCAAGTATCTGCCCTCAGTGATTTGCCCAAGATCATTCAGACAATCTTGGGCAAAGCTAAGAGCAGAAGGGTAGAATTCATGGCTTTGAGATTGCATTTTGTGCCTCCAATATTCTACTTTCCTGAAAAATTAGTAATTGAGAAAACAGAAAATGGGCCCTCATTCAACTAAAACATATGCTTCCTTTTATGCTTTGATCAAGAATATTAGTAAGAGGAAAAATGTGTCCTTTCAATCAGTATCACCCCGACAGTGATGAAGCAGTCATTGGCACTTTGATTAAATCCGAGCACTTCCTGGCCTGGAGTTGAGTTCCTTTTCGCACGCTTTCTCCCCAGCGAGAGCAGACCCAGCCTCTCAAGGACACCACCTCTCTTTGAAGGGCTTCCATCTCAAAGGCTACATTTTCTTTCCATGGATTTTTGGGCCACAAATTCAAAGGCCACCTGTAGAAAAAAATTACTTTTCAGTGAACCAGCAGATGTTTGCTTAAACAGGTTTCACTGTAGGAAAGCCCTGCTAATTTGGATCGTACTAATTTGGAGATGAAAGTGATTCACAGACGACATATGTGGCTCACATGGAGGAGGATGTTCTAGCTATTTTTTCTGGTGTAAATTTTAAGGATCTTACAAATAAAGGTAATCTATGGCTTAAAGTCTTCATTTGGGAAACTAAGGCTTACTATGACATACTTCCAGTTTCTAGGACTGCTGGTTAATAGTTAAAGGATATCTGATTATAATATTAATAAGATCTTACATGCCCATAGTGTTTTCTAGTTTTACCAAAGCAATACAAATGAATATTTTGTGCGACACTCAGTGTAGTCTTTCCAGAAGCCAAGGCTTGAGAGTATTATGCCTGTTTTGCAGATGAGGAATTTAAGGCTCAGAAAGGGATTTGTGACTTGTGCAAACTCACAATACTTTTATGTTAAGCCTATTTTTATGAAATTTTTAGCCCACTTCTCGATGGAGAGGATTTCAGGCCAAATAGAATGAGTGGAGCTGGGATGGGAACCCTAGTGTCCAGGCTGCCTAAGTTAGCACATTGCACTTGCCTGTCACTGTCTAGCTTGAGGGAGGTCTTTGGGTAGCAACCACTGCCTTTCACTAAAGGCTAGTTTCATTTATATGATCACATTTGTCTAAGTTCTTCAGTAAGTCATACTGGTTCCTTCCATTATATTCAGCTTGTTTTCTTCCACAACCTTTCTGAAACAGAAAGGAACTTTAGAAGTGTGGAAGGGAAAGCGAATTGAGCTCATTAACACATGGAATGTAATTATGCACAAATGTATTCATTACAGTATTTCAGCTGTTGGAATGATATAGACACAGTTAATTCCAAAGCATAAAGAAACAATTACCCTCAAAGTATAAATACAATACTAATCACATGGTTCAGTTAACAAGAACCATATATGAGTTATACTTGAATCAAAAGTGTAGGCAGGGACTGGGCACAGTGGCTCACACCTGTAATCCTAGCACTTTGGGAGGCCAAGGAGGATGGATCACCTGAGGTCAGGAGTTCTAGACCAGCCTGACCAATGTGGTGAAACCTAATCTCTACTAAAAATACAAAAATTAGCCAGGCGTGGTGGTGTAGTCCCAGCTACTTGGGAGGCTGAGACAGGAGGATTGCTTGAACCTGGGAGGTGGAGGTTACAGTGAGCTGAGATTGAGCCATTGCACTCCAGCCTGGGTGACAAAGTGAGACTCCATCTCAAAAAAAAAAAAAAAAATGTAGTCAGGGTTTTTTTGGTGCAGTCACATGACACACTAAACCATCTTGCAATGTTTAAGTCACCTGTTGGATTGTATATTGACCATTTGGTGTTGGAAATGTGTTCTTATTGAAAATGACTTTGGGAGAGAATGGCATATAATTTATGAATCTCATGTTGCTGTGTGCAGACTCCTAGTGATCAGAAGAGAGAAAAGAATTGTGGGAAGGGAAGCTTAGTTTCTTAGTACTCTTTAATGCAAATCAGGGACAGAGTGCCAAAGTACAATTGAGTTAGAAAATTGAGTGTGTAAAGTGTAGGTAGAGAGTGGCAAGAGTTGAGGCTGGAGAGGTATGCAAAAAATCAGATCTTAAAAGGTCTTAACTTTATCCTGTAGGCGATGCAGTGAAGGGTTTATATTTTAGATAGAGCCTGTAGTGGCTGTGTGATGGACAGATTGGAGTGAGACAACTTTGGAAACAGGGAGACCTATTAGAAGGCTGTGATAGTTGCCCTGGTGAGAGAATATTAGGTTCACACTTCAGGTGGTTGGTTGGATGGGGGCTGACTGATTTAAAAATATCCAGGAGATAAAAAGTTGATTAGATGGTGCTATACTCTGCATATCCCTTTTTTTCATATCCTTTTACAGAATGGTATTTTTCTTCCCACTCAGCATCTACTTTGAGATGTATCCATGTTGTGTGTATAGATGTAGCTCACTGATTTTAATTGATTTAATATGGTAACCACTGATAAATAAACCTAGTTTATTTATCTGTTCCTCTTCTGAGGGAGAGGTAGTTTGTTTCCACTTTTTCCTTATTATCTAAACAGTGCTCAAATGAAGATCCTTTTATGTGATTCCTTATGTACATGTGCAAATGCTTTTTCCCCTTAAGGTAGGTGCCTACGAAAATAAATAAATAAATACATACATACAAAAAATAGCTGGGTGCAGTGGTGGGCGCCTGTAGTCCCAGCTACTTGGGAGACTGAGGCAGAAGAATCGCTTGAATCCGGGAGGCAGAAGTTGCAGAGAGCCAAGATCACACCACTGCACTCCAGCCTGGACGACAGAGTGAGACTCCATCTCAAAATAAATAAATAAATAAATAAATAAATAAATAAAGTAAAAAAATTAAAAAAGGTAGGTGTCTAGAAGAAGAATTGCATAGAATTGACAGAAGAGGTGAACCCCAATATAAAAAAAATCTTAAGTTGATAAAAAGACAAATGCTATAAACAGGGCATGAAACATGCACTTTATAGAAGAGAAAACAAGAATGGTCATAAATACAAAAAGATGTTTCATCTCACAGGTAATCAAGAAAAAGAAAAAACAACAATAAGGCAACATTTCAAACCCATAAGATTGGCAGGGATTACTAGATTGGGTAACTGCATTGTTGGTGCTCATTTACCTGCCAAAGGGATTGTGAAATTGGCATAACCTCTGTAGAGCACCAAGTGTGGAAGGGACGGGTGGAAGTGAGGAGACACACCGCTGGCTGTTCCAGGTGGCTACTCCAGAGGAATCTCTGCACACACATCCTTTTCACTTAAAACTGTCACAACAGATAGACCCACTTCATTTTCTTTTTCTTTTTGAGACAGCAGTCTCTCTCTGTCACCCAGGTGGCACAATCTCCACCCACTACAACTTCTGCCTCCCAGGCTCAAGGGATCCTCCCACCTCAGCCTCAGCGTATGCCCTGCTAATTTTTGTGTTTTTTGTAGAGACAGGGTTTCCCCTTGTTGCCCAGGCAGGTCCCAAACTCCAGGGCACAAACTCTATACCCGCCTCAGCCTCCCAAAGTGCAGGGATTACAGGCATGAATCACTGCACCTGACCCCAGCTCATTTTCATTTAACTGCCGAACTATGTTTCATAGAAAGGAGGGACTGGATTATTTAAATATATCTTTATTGGTAGATATTTAGGTTTGTTTTTCTTTCTGTTGTTTTTCTATTGGTGAAACAGATGCAATGGACATCCTTGAATATGCATCTTTGGGCATATATGGATAATATCTCTCTATAATAGATATCAAGACATGGTATAACTGGGTTAAAGAATAAGAACATTTAAAATGTAAGTAATGTGAAGCAAAAAAAAAAGCCAGACACAAAAGGCCACATATTTTATGCTTCCACTTACCTGTAGATGAAATGTCCAGAACAGGCAAATCCATAGAGACAGAAAGTAGATTTAGTGGTTGCCAGGGAAAGGGAGAAGGAGGAAATTAGGAGTGACTGATACTGGCCAGGCACGGTGGCTCACACCTGTAATCCCAACACTTTGGGAGGCTGAAGTGGGTGGATCACTGGAGGCCAGGAGCTTGAGACCAGCTTGGCCACATGGCAAAACCCTGTCTCTACTTGGCCGGGTGCGGTGGCTCACGCCTGTAATCCCAACTCTCAGGGAGGCAAGAGGTGGGAGGATAGCTTGAGCCCAGGAGTTCGAGACCTGCCTGGGCAATATAGCGAGACCCCTTTCTCCAGAAAAAGGCAAAAACAAAACAAAACAAAACAAAACAAAAGACAAAAAATATATAAAAGCCAGCTGTGGTGGCATATGCCTGTAATCCCAGCTACTCAGGAGGCTGAGGCACGAGAATCACTTGAACCCAGGAGGCAGAGGTTGCAGTGAGCTGAGATTGCACCCCTGCACTCTAGCCTGGGGTGACAGAGTGAGACTCTGTCTGAAAAATAAAATAAAAATAAAAAAGGAGCCACTGGTACAAAAAAAAAAAAGAAAAAATGAGTAAGACCTACTATTTGATAGCACAACAGGGTGACTATAGTCAATAATAATTATACACTTAAAAATAACTACAAGAACATAATTGGATTGTTTGTAAAACAAAGGATAAATGCTTGAGGGGATGGACACCCCATTCTCCATGATGTGATTATTTCACATTGCACACCGTATCAAAACATCTCAGGTACCACACAAATATATATATACCTACTATGTACCCACAAACATTAAAAATTAAAAATAAATATAACTTACAAAGATTAAAAATGAAATTAGAAGTGATGGCTAGTGGGTACAGGACTTCTTTTTGGGGTGATGGAAATGTTCTGGAATTAGATAGTGGTGATGGTTGCACAAGATTCTGAATATACTAAAAAACACTGAATTGTACACTTAATGTAAATTTTATGTATATAAATTTTATCTCAATAAAAAATTTAAATAGATATAGCCAAATCACCCTCCAAAACTGATGTCATAATTTAACTTTCAATAACAGTGTGTGAGAATACCTGTTTTTCCACATTCTTGCGAACAGTAGATACTATCAGTCTTTAAAATTTTTGCTAATTGATAGAAAAAGATTTTTTAAAATTTGCATTTCCTTGATTGCTATTGGGACTGAACGTCTTTTCATAAACTTACTGTCCATTTGTATTTCTTTGTTCTGTGAATCAACCGTTTATGACTTGCCTACTACTGTATTGTTTGTTTGTTTCTTTCTTTTTCTTTCTTTCTCTTTCTCTTTCTTTCTCTCTCTCTCTCCTTCCTCCCTCCCCTTCCTTTTCTTTCCTTTTTCTTTTCTTTCTCCCTTCCCTTCCCTTCTCTCCCCTTTGCTCCCCTCCCCTCCCCTTCTGTTTCTTTTTCTTTTCTTTCTTCCTTTCTTCCTTTCCCAGGTTCAAGTGATCCATCCGCCTCAGCCTCCAGAGGAGCCGGGACTATAGGCATGCGCCACCATGCCAAGCTAATTTTTGTATTTTTAGTACAGATGAGGTTTCACCATGTTGGCCAGACTGGTCTGGAACTCCTGACCTCAGGTGATCCATCCGCCTCGGCCTCTCAAAGTGCTGGGATTACAGGCATGAGCCACTGCACCCAACCTGTTCATCTTTTTCCGATTGATTTGTAGATGCTCCATGTATTATGAGTTATCAACCTTTTGTCTATTTTACGTATAGGACTGGTCAATCTTTTTCTTTGTATGTTTTGAGTGACTTTTAGAATGCGTTTACCAACCATTATTATATCCATACTCTGTTATGTTTTGTTCTGGTATTTTTATGGATTTTCATTTATAGGTTTAAGAATTTATTGACTGGTGTGTGGGTATAGTAGGGAGGGGGTCTGTCTTTTTTCTATATATGTAGTAATCTAACCTTTATGTTTTTGTGAAATCCTACTCAGAGCATTTTATCTCATTTCTCATAGTTATAGACAGGAAATTATTTCATATCCAGATAGAGCCTCCGTTTAACCTAAGTATTGGCTCCACAAGTCTTTTAAATGGTAAACTCCTTGAATTTAAATTCAATTAGTTTATGTCACGAGTAGGTCCAGGTTTTCTGGGTCTGAATTTTAATAATTTAGGGGATTGTCTTTAATGCAAGAGTACCAAATTAGGTACAGGCATATGAAGGTGCAGAGACCTGAAATCCAAGCTTCCTTAGCTTCCCAGTAAATTCACCCTGGTTACATTATCAGAATGCATCTGTTACATAAAACGATGAGGAGCAGCCATCTCCATCCCTGGAGTGGTATGACTTTCTTTTGTATTCACCAGCTACCACAACTTCAGGATTTTTTTCTTCCCTTGTTGTTTAAAGAGACATTTAAGAGCAGACACATACATCAAGGTGGCTTTAATGTTGGAAGCAGAGTTAGTCCAGTGGAGAAGTTCTTTCAGCAGGGTCTTTGCCACCTCTGCATTGCTCAAATGTGATGTATTTGATCAGTGGACTAGCTGAGAACTTGGTATAATAATGGGGGTTGTTAATCTTGCATGCCTTTGGAACCTGAATTTACAGCTTTAACTTTGCATATCTGCTTGCTTTTGCATTAGAGCTTGGTCAGCACTGTTGAGAGATTTGCAAATGCAACTAACAGGGCTTTCTTTTAGCATCCTACCCTTTCAAAAATCCAGGAGGCAAACAATGATCAATGTTGTCATAAGTAATGCAGAGGATGGCAATAATAATAATACCTGACTTTCACCATAAGCCATGTGCTGTGCGAAATGCTTACCTGTATTGTTTTACTTCATCCTCATCATCCCCTATAAGGCAGATGCTATTATGACCCTCACTCTACAGATGAGGAAGTTGAGGCTTAGAGAGAGGATGCCTTACTCAAGGCCTCAGAAGGGGTACTTCAGCACCCCCCCACTTCCCTTCAGGATCCTCTAAGGCCAGTGCTCTCATTTGACAAATGAAAGACAGATTTGGAGAGACCTGAGATCTTTTGGACATCAGGTTTATGTGTCAAGCATAGTTTTATTTATTTTATTTTATTTTGTTATTTTTTGAGATGGAGTTTTGCTCTTGTTGCCCAGGCTGTAGTGCAATGGCATGATCTTGGCTCACTGCAACCTCCGCCTCCCGGGTTCAAGCGATTCTCCTGCCTCAGCCTCCCGAATAGCTGGGATTACAGGCATGTACCACCACGCCTGGCTGATTTTGTATTTTTAGTAGAGACGGGTTTCTCCATTTGGTCAGGCTGCTCTCAAACTCTCAACTTCAGGTGATCTGCCCGCCTAGGCCTCCCAAAAGTGCTGGGATTACAGGTGTGAGCCACCACGCCCAGCCAAGCATAGTTTTAAAAACTTTGCTGGTCTTATTTAATTAAATCCCTGTAAGAGTCCTGCAAGATAAATACTATTATTATTCCTGTTTTACAGATGAGAAAGCTGAGACACAAAAATTTCCAAGGCCACATAGCTACTATGTGAAAGATGTAGGATAAAACCTTAGGCAGCCTGCCTCCAGAGCCAGGCTCCTACCCTCACTCTACAGCTGCCTTGCAGGGAGTACTGTTAAAGCTTAGTACAGTTACGACTTACTGCATCACATCTCTGAGCCTCCCAGAAATAGAGAGATACCAAGGCCTTTCATTTATAATTTCTAAGTTATTTTTTATTTTTATAGACAGGGTCTTCCACTGTCACTCAGGCTGGAGTGTAGTGGCACAATCACAGCTCACTGTAGCCTTAACCCGTGGGCTCAAGTGACCCTCCCATTTTGGCCTCCCAAAGTCCTAGGATTACAGGCATGAGCCATGGTGCCCACCCTATTTTTTTAAATGAAGAAATGCCTAAACTGTGTTACAAAAACTGTGGCATGTTTAAAATGTTTAAATTTGACAAATTAGGCCAGGCGCGGTGGCTGACGCCTGTAATCTCAGCACTTTGGGAGGCTGAGGCGGGCAGATCACAACATCAGAAGTCCGAGACCAGCCTGGCCAACATGGTGAAACCCTGTCTCTACTAAAAATACAGAAATTAGCCCGGGGTGGTGGCGTGCACCTGTAATCCCAGTTGCTCAGGATACTGAGGCAGGAGAATTGCTTGAACCTGGGAGGTGGAGGTTGCGGTGAGCTGAGATCACGCCATTGCACTCCAGCCTGGGTGACAGAGCGAGACTCTGTCTCAAAAAAAAAAAAAAAAAAAATTGACAAATTAATTCTCTTAAGATTCAAAAAAAACAATGCAATACAATTCTGCTATTTGAAAGATAATTATGAGATTCAAAAGAAATATGAATTCATGGGGCTTTTACAGTTAAGGTGATATGGGAATGAGACATGATTTAAAGTTAATGATGAATATCTTCTTTCACTCCTGTGTCTGTAGTTTTAGGCCGCTTCATTTGGAGAACACACCAGAAGTCTTAACTTGAGGCTCTTTGAGAATGAGAGAACATAACGAAATAATGAGATTTGGTGGTATATAGAAACAGCAGCCTTGTGCCTGACCTTTGTTTTTTCACTGTTGGTGGCTAAAAGAATAAATGTTTATAGATTATACTGAAGTACTGAGCTTTGTTGTTTTTGGTAAAATGAAGAGCCACTGTACGCTGATTGATAAGAGATAGGCTTTGATTTTATATTCTACTGTATGTTTCAGTTAGTTTCTTTTTAAACATTCTTTAACTTTTGATTATTTCCTTATCAGACTTGAGTTTTCTAGGAAAGGAGTTTTTTTTTTTAATCAGAGAATAAATTTCCAAGTCATTGTCCCCGGAGGGATAAATTAAAATGCAGGGCCTATTTCCAACCGCATTAGTGACTTCTCTGTAGCTTTAGGAAGATCAATTAACCTTTTACTCACTTCTTTGTCTGTACAATAGGAATGGCAGTGTTGACATCAGATTTTTCCAAAGTATTTTTCAGAAACTTGGGTGAAAGGTATTAAAACTACTGCCTGCATTATTCCTGGATCCCCCTAGTAATGGGCTCCAATTACCAGTCACTTATAAGAATTTATAGGTAAGACTCTTATCATATGTTGTTAATCACAACTTTCACAGTTGTGATTTGGTGTTTTAATTCAAAAGCTACTGTTTTGGAAGTGACTGCTTTCTTTGAGGGTTAGAAAACATGCCCACATTTCCATACAAGTGTCACATTCTTGTTAGCACATCACCCATCCATCTCTTACAGGATTATGCAACTCAGTTCATAGATATAATCAGCTTTGTATTTTCATTCAAGGATAACAAACTAGCAAGGTTGAAATCTTGACTTGTCATCGGAATTGAATTGCTCCCTGGAGCTGGGAGGGAATGAGATTGGTCCAGCTCTGTTCAGAAATGGCAGTTATCTTTAGAATCTCAATCGCCTGCTCTCCCTTTCTTCTTTCCAGTATGGTGACTACGACCCCAGTGTTCACAAGCGGGGATTTTTGGCCCAAGAGGAATTGCTTCCAAAAAGGGTAAGAGATTAAATTCCCTTTTCAGGAAGACATAGCAGATATGTGGTCTAAAAGAAAGCTAACCAAAGGACTTGAAGGAATATTGGAAGTACATAGCAATTTAATTTTAATAAATATTTTGTAATCTCCAGTAAACAGTGTGGGATCTCTGTTAAGAATATTAAAAAGCAAAGGTTTTTGGAGTTAGTTTGGGGTCACCAGGACTAGCATGGCCTGTAAATGTTTTTTCTAGCGTGGTTGTTTTTTCAGATGCAGTTGAGCATCATTGATTCCCAAAGAGGAGGCTGGAGCAGAGTGTATTCAGCTTGGGGAATTGAGCTGTTTGCAGTGGCGAGGGGCGGATAGAGGAGATGAGGTAGGGGTGGGCATTGTGGTTTTTAATCCTCAGTGTTGTTCATCTTATTCATTAGCCACAGAAGCAGGCCCGCCCTCCCTTTTGCTCCTGCCGATTTTACAGCCCTCACTCATCTGTCACTGGGTAATAAAGGCCCGTTTCTCACCTCTCACTCTCTTTACCTGTCCCTCGATGGCTTCTGAGCATGTGAAGGCCTGAGATGAGTGAGCATTGCTTCTGACTGAGCTCCGCTGTCAGAGGTGGTCTCTGTGATGTATCGCCCAGGCAGGGACAGGGGCACTGCCAGATGAGGGTTGCACCTAGGTCTGAGTTATCATGCAGCTTTCTGAGTTGCTCCTCCAATAGAATGGTGCCTTATTTACACGCCCTCTCTCTGTGTGACTATCTCCCTGGGTGTAGCTTTTTAAAAATAGCTTTACTGTTTTGTAAAAATGATGCATAATTATAAAAGTGGCAAACAATACCAAATTTACTTCATGTGTAGGTTTTTTATTTTGCTCTATTTTTTGGTAGGTAATAAATCTGTATCAGATGACTCCGGAAATGTGGGAGGAGAGAATTACTGCTTGGTACGCAGAGCACCGAGGCCGAGCCAGGTGAGGCCCATTCATTGTTGGTTTACATTCCTTTATGGGCTTTTTTTTTTTTTTTTGCCTTAAAGAACTGCAAAACTAGGACATGCTTGTTAAACAAAATGCAGTACTGAAGTCTATAAAAGAAAAGGGGAGAGCTGGGGAGCTGGGAGTAACGTTGGTCTTCAGTTTTGTGTGTGTCCTTTTCTAGTACGTATGACATAAAGTAGGTATGTGTACTGCCTGTCAAGATATATAGACCTGTACTCACTGGTAATTAAGTTTAAGATTTTTTTTTTTTTTTGAGACAGAGTCTTGCTCTGTTGTCCAGGCTGAAATGCAGTGGCGCCATCTCAGCTCACTGCAGCCTTGACCTCCTGGGTTCAAGCAAACCTCCTGCCTCAGCACCCCCAGTAGCTGGCACTACAGGCACACGCCACCATGCCCAGCTAGTTTTTCTATTTTTAGTAGAGATGGGGTTTCAACATGTTACCCAGGCTGGTCTTCAACTCCTGGGCTCAAAGCAATCTGCCCACCTCGGCCTCCCAAAGTGTTGGGATTAGAGGCGTGAGCTGAGCCACTGTGCCTAGCCTGAATTTTAAGAATTCTATTGTATGGCTATCCCATTGCTTTTGCATCCATCCCTTTATTGATGGCATTTGAGTATCTGTAGGTTTTTCACTTTTACAAAAATTTCTGCAGTGCACAATCTTTTATTTTTATACAATTGTATGAGTAGTTCTGGGGATATATTCTTTTTTTTTTTTTTTTTTTTTTTGAGACGGAGTCTCACTCAGTCACCCAGGCTGGAGTGCAGTGGCGCGATCTCGGCTCACTGCATCTCCGCCTCCCAGGTTCACGCCATTCTCCTGCCTCAGCCTCCCGAGTAGCTGGGACTACAGGCACCCGCCACCACGCCTAGGCTAATTTTTTGTGTTTTTAGTAGAGATGGGGTTTCACTGTGTTAGCCGGGATGGTCTCGATCTCCTGACCTCGTGATCTGCCTGCCTCGGCCTCCCAAAGTGCTGGGATTACAGGCATGAGCCACCGCGCCCAGCCAATATATTCTTTAAAACAAGAGTTGTTGGGACAAAGGATGTGAGCATTTTGCATTTTGCCAGGTACCACCAAATTGTTCTCCAAAAAGGCTGTACCTGTTTATACATGCCTGTCGACAAGTGTTATGAGAGTGTCCCACCCCCCACCCCCAGTCTATCCTCAACAATTGTTTTTATCAGTCTAATTTTTGTAATCTAAAAAGTGAAAAGTTGTATTATGTTAGAATTCCATTCCCTTGATTAGGAATTGGTCATGTTTTCATTAGCCTTTAACATTTTTTTCTCTTCTTCAAATCAGTTTCCTAACACTTTTTTTTTTAAACTTAAGTGCAACATGCATATGGAAAAGTAGACAAATTATAAGTATACAACTTGATCAATTATTGTAAGGTGAAAACACCAGAGGAAGAAATAACCTGTGTCTCCCTACCCCCAATTCCCCTTTCTTCCTCCCCAAAGGCAACCAGTCTCCTGATTTTTAATTCCAGATTGGCGTTGCCCATCTTAAACTTTGCATTCTGTTTTTTGTGTCTCCTTTTACTCAGCATCATGTTGTCAGATTGGGGTTTGTGGCATGTGGCAATAGTTTTCTCATTTTCATTGCTGTATAGACTTCCACTGTATTAGTATATTAAAAATTATTTATTCATTCTACTAATGATGGACAGTTAGGTTGTTGGGTTGTCCCCTGAGTTTTGCTATTACAATAATGTCAAACAATTTCCCAAAGTAATTGTACCAATTTACGTCAATGTGCATGATTTCTGATTTCTCCACCTTTTCACCAACACTTGGCGTTCTCTCAGGCTGGGTTTTTAAAAATTCATTGAGAGCATTTGGAGATTGGAGAGAGAAGGAAGAGGACAAGGTCATAGGGAGACTTGAGTTAAAATATTTCAGTATGATACCTGTTTGGGAGTTTTCTGCAAGTTATTGCTACTTCAAGAGCTTACTTTAAATTATAACTTAGATGAAGGTGATCTGACTTGGGTTTTACAACCCAGATAACTCTTGCCCTAACCTCCAACAATACTCAGGAAGCTTGCAGAGAGAGCTGTTTCATTTCCAGAACCTTCCAGGTAAAGAAAGTACACAAAGGAAAAGCAAGAACTTAAATAAAATTCCAACACCCAAATCTGTTTGAGGGTAGAAGATAACATACCACACACTCTTGTTGAATTACTTGAGATGAGTTTACTGTTTACCAAGGGCAAGGTGGGAAACTAAGGCCAAGAAACTCCGTGATGAGTCTGTTCTCTGACTATCTTTTGATGGGGATGGGAAATTCTGCTTGACCTCAGTGTGTTTAATAGACTCAGGGCCGGGCAGAGCTTTGCTGGTGTCTGCTGTGGCTTTTGTCTTCTGGCAGCGACGTGGCTCTAGAGGAATGGCAGGGTCAGAATGCTTGATTTGGTGCCCACCCGCTCTCCACCCATCTCACTTAGCTCCAATGACAGTGTCTTCCGTTCTCCCCACAGGGATGAAGCTGAAATGGAATATCTGAAGATAGCTCAGGACCTGGAGATGTACGGTGTGAACTACTTTGCAATCCGGGTGTGTTGAAACCTCTCTGAGCTCCTTGTGTAGTAGACAGAGACTGAGTGAGGGCCAGACTGCTAAAATGGTTACTTCTTCATTCCAAGGCGATAGACTCTTTTATGGTTCTGTGGTAAAGAAGGAAAGAGGAAGGAAAGAGAGGTCTTAGTGCCTAACTTTCTATTTTTGGACTTCAATTAGATCATAGGTAATTAAGTGTCACTTGAGCCTTGGGGGACTTGGACCTGGTTCTGCTCTCAGCAGAAACCTGTTTGAATGCTCTGAGTGTAAGATTTGATTATTTCTGGCTCTGTGAGATCTCCGTCCACAGGGAGCACTTGTAAGTACTTCTCCCCCCAACACACACCCCACCCCCATCCCCACCCCCACCCCCACCCCAGGCACTAGTAGAGTAGATCTGCCTTTATAGATTACTGATTTGTTTGGGATTCTCACTATGAGGCTAATTGGTTTTCTATTCAGACTATTAATAGTCTGCTGTCTGCTGGGAACCCACTGCTTCTGCAGGGAGAGGCATTTGTGTGCAGCCCAGATCTGGGCCTTTAGAATGTCTTTCTCCTGTGGGTCAGTATCTGGATGCAGTGTATAGGCAGCTTCTTACAAAGGGATGCATGCGATTTGCCAAAGCATTTCACTACGGACTCCAAACTGCAGATGAGTAGATGTTAAAACAATGAGGCGGGTCCACCTTTATTTTCATAGTCATGCTTTGCTTTCCCTTATTGGGTTCCTACAGTTGTTGTATTAAATTCAGGTAAATTGAAACATATTTTAAATATTCTAGGATAGCTTTCTACTTCATTTGTATTTTGTAAATACAGATTTGTATGGATTACACTGCATAAGAAAATAAGGCACACTTAAAGTGCCTAAAAGATGCTCCATAATAGTACAGGAAGTTCTTTTCTAAAGTTCTGTCAGTTTGTATTTGCTAATTGCTTGGTTTCTTTAAGGTCAAACTAATGTAACACATTTCTGTGGTTTTGTCAACTCAACTCCTCTTGCCCCATGTTCTGGCCACCTAGATTCTAGAAAACTAAAGTTTTATAATCCTCAGAAAACAGTTTTTTTGGTTTTTAAAAATCTTTTTTGTTTTTTAGAGGTGGAGTTTTGCTATATCGCCCAGGCCTGCTAGGCTCAAGTGATCCTTCCACCCCAGCCTTCCAAGTAGCTGGGGAGTATCACTGTGCCTGGCTGAAAAGGTTTCTTATTAGGGAATATTTCTACATCAGTCAGACTAATGGATACTGTTTTTTGTGTGTGTTTCCTATATTGAGCAATAGACAAAGCTACTGGCTATCTTAGTGTCTTTTATGTTAAATTTCCTGAAATCTCACCATTAACTAAGGAAGATGTATGCTTAAAACAGTTTAAAAGGGGCTGCTTGAGTCCTCACCTCTCTCTCTGTTTAATCTCTAGGAGTGTTGGAGTCATAATGGTAGGAGGCAGAAGGCTGAATCTTTTTTTAAAAATTTAAACTAAATAGTCAGAAACTATTTTCTGACTATTGAAACACAATGAAACATCTCATTTTCCAAAATGTACTGCAGATGTAAAAGTACAAAGCCTCACTTCTATTAATGCAGTAGCTTTCATGGCTTTGCTGACGAGCAGAAGAGTCTCTCATGGTTTGGTGATAGCACCTGACTTCAGGATGTTAGGAGTAAAAAGATTTATGCTGGAGTACTCACTCCTCAGTCTGATATCTGCTGTTAGATGGGTACTTCTCTTCACAGTCCCAGTACCTTCTCAGTTTGCAGACCTGTTTTTCTGCCCTTGAGTCTTGGTTCAGTTTCCATTATCGTCAAGGGGTCAGGAGCTGTAGTATCCTTGTGCAGCGAGTTTCCTTCCACTCCAAATGAGGGCTAGACCACAGCACTGGCGGGTGGACCTGCACGTGAAGATACAGCCACTCAGTCCGTCGCAGGTTCAGTGCTGTGGGAGCCCAGGGCACCCGCCGCGGGCTGCTCTGACTGCTGGCCAGGACCGCTGTCAGGGGCAGAGCATAAGTACGGCTTTTAGACAACTTTGTTGATGAATAGAATTCTTTTTGATATGTATTTCCCATCATGCAATTATTAAAAATTTCAAACTTACAGGAAAACTGAAAGAATTTTTCAGTGAATACCCATATATATGCACAATCTAGATTCTACAGTTAACATTTTACCAGACTTGCTTTATCACATGAAGACTACATTTTATCATAAAATGAGACCATCCAGCCCCAGGCACTGAAAATTTTCTTCCTAGTAGTCCAACAATGGTTTCTTTAAATATAAGAAATCATTAAACCTATGGGTTTTTTTTGTTTTGTTTTTTAACGAAGTCTCTCTTTGTCGACCAGGCTGGAGTGCCGGGGCACCATCTCAGCTCACTGCAGCCTTCTGGGTTCAACCAGTTCTCCTGCTCAGCCTCCTGAGTAGCTGGGATTACAGGCGCGTGCCACCATGCCCGGCTAATTTTTTTGTGTGTATTTTTAGTAGAGATGGGGTTTCACCATGCTGGCCAGGCTGGTCTTGAACTCCTGACCTCGTGAACCGCCCGCCTCGGCCTCCCAAAGTGCTGGGATTACAGGCATGAGCCACTGCTCCCCGCCTAAACCTATGGGCTTTAATTCTATACCTATGATAGCCTGCTTATTTAACCAGAGGGAACAACACTTATGTTACTCTTCCTTTAGCCATCGAGCCAGTGACAGAAGCCCTCAGTGATTGTTCTGGGGGACCCAGAAGTCACAAGAATGGAACAGTTTTGCTTCTACCTGCCCCAATTCAGAAAGCTGAAATCTTCTTGGTTTATAAGACAGCTGTGACTTCTGTTGGGACCTGCTGAAACTTGTCACATGTGACAGTGTGTGCCAGATTCTTTGGAAGGTTGAATAAAATTTTGAGCCTCAGCTGGCGCTTACAGTAGCTGTTCTTATTGGATCCACAGAATAAAAAGGGCACAGAGCTGCTGCTTGGAGTGGATGCCCTGGGGCTTCACATTTATGACCCTGAGAACAGACTGACCCCCAAGATCTCCTTCCCGTGGAATGAAATCCGAAACATCTCGTACAGTGACAAGGAGGTAGGACATGTGTGTACTGCAGATGGGTCCAGCAGATCTTTCCCTGTCTGCCCCCCTCACTGGAGCCTCCCCAGCCAGGGCATCTCCTTGTTATTCATAGAGTCCTTTAATTCCCAGGCTTTGAGGGTGTGGTTGTTGATTTTCGAAGTCTTTACAGAACAGTATTGGCATCAATAACCCCACTATGACTAATAGGAAACTGGGAAGCTCAACTGGCCAGGGAGAAACCCCAAAGAATAGTGAACAAAAACAGTAACATTTTCTTATTACTTGGCTTTCTATTTTTGTCGATACATTCTCTTTGTATGTTTTCTTTTCTTTTTTAGAGACAGGATTTCATTATGCATGCCCAGACTGGATTTGAATCCTGGGCTCAAGCAATCCTTCCACCTCAGCCTCCTGAGTAGCTACTACAGGTGTGCGCCACAGCACCTGGCTTAAATTCTCTTCGTATTTTAAGTGTGGTCTTTATTGAGCTTTCTTTCTGTGTCCGGTGCTTGATACATGTGGCAGAGAAATACATATACACACATATACACATATGGACATATATGTGTTTTGTGTGTGTATCTCTCAGTAATTATATAAATAAGTATATTAGGTTAATATGCTTACAAGAATTCCAAAATAATTAAGGTGGAATAACTTAGATAAATGCTCTTAGAATTTAAATATTTCCATATAGGGTGGTGACTTTTACCAAAAAGGTCCCATAATGTATAATCTTATGTTTACTCATCCATCCATTCATTCATTCACTCATCCATTCATTCATTCTTCATTCATTTTATTTTATTATTATCATTTTTTGAGACAGGCTCTCATTCTGTCACCGAGGCTGGAATGCAGTGGCACATGATCACGGCTCACTGCAGCCTTGACCTCCCTGGGCTCAGGTGATCCTCTCACCTCAGCCTCCCAGGTAACAGACTACAGGCGTGTGCCACCACATCTGGCTAATTTTTTGTAGAGATGGGGTTTTGCCACATTGCCCACCAGGCTGGTCTTGAACTTCTGGGCTTGAGCAATCCTCCCACCTCAGCCTCCCAAAGTGCTGGAATTACAGGTGTGAGCCACTGTGCTCAGCAGTTCTTCATTAATTTTAAAGGAATTATTGAGCATCTGCTTTGTGTTAGATTTCATGGGGGAAACAAAGATGTAGAAAATCCAGTCTTAGCATTCAAGGAAGTCAAGTAACTACTCACCTGCTATAATAAATAAGTGCCGTGGAAGAGACATGATGACAACAAATGTAGTCTTCCACATACAAGCACATTCACCCTGACCGTCTGAATTTAATCTCTATAAGAACACTGCTGTAAAGGCAGGGGCTGTGTTGTCAATATCTCTGTGTCACATCAGGAAGCAGAGACACAGAAGGATCAAGTGACCTGTGTCTGAGTGAAGTAGCAGAGATTAGGAGCCAGAGTTGCTGATGCCACAGCCCCCGCCTTTCAGGGAGGCCCAGAGGCTGAGTCCTGAGAGCACAGGGGCACTGGGGAGAGGGAGGCTCCACTCAGTGACCTCCTGGTACCTGCACAGCCAGGACACAGACTAGAGAGTGAAGAACAGGAACAGCTTATGTTGCTGCCTGCAGAGCCCCAAACCTGAGCATATTTCCTGTTTTCTCTTTTTCATGGCAACTCAAGGAAGGGAACACCAGGCCCCTGGTTTCCAGTATATGGTTGGGATCTACTCAGCCATGCTTGATAAGACAGACTGAGCCCCTTAATTCAAAACATTCTGACTTTGAAGTTTTTGTTAGTAGTTAGCCCAGGAGATAAGCAGTTAGGTATTTCTTTTTTAAAGTACTTAAATTGAAAGTTCCACATGACATAAAGCTGTATGTGTGCCACCGTATGGTAGTTTTTCATCTCCCAATTTCATAAAGTCTGTTTATTGCACGTCCACACATTTGTGTGCTAAAGGCTCCCTAAACACCCGTTCTTCAAAGAAGCCAAGGATTGAAATCTCCCATACTATGGCCTGACACAGTAAACTCTAATATGCCCTCTCCGGGGGACAGGCGCCATCATGTTCCATCATGTCAATAACTCATGCAGTAAGCAGACCCCAAGCTGACTTGACATAAAAGAAGTAGTCTTGGTAGTTATGCATGACAGCCATGCTGTCAAAACAGAAATGTTAGTTTATTTTAAATGATCCATTGATTCTTTGTGTACGCCCTGGCATGGTGCAGAGCCTGCGGTTTCCCCACTACTTGTGGTTTCCCAATGACAGCTCCAGGGTTTGACAGCAAAGCCAAAAATAAGCTCACAAAATTCATGAATAGCAGCCTACACAAGAGCAACACTGCTTCTAAGTTAACTTGGCTGAAAGCTAAACAAAGGATCATTTTCTGTCCTCAGTGTACTAACCCCTTCTTGGGCAATATAACGTGTGAAAGAAATATATCTTCCCAAACATATTTATCTGCTTAGCAAGTCTTTCTTGGGAATGGATATCCATTTTGTAAGTGCATCTTGGAAATCTAGGATCTGTTTGGTCTTATCGGGAGTGGTTGAGAGCAGCAGCCATTTGTTCCTTGCAGGCTTTCCTGCTAGTGGTCTAACCCTAGGTTCTCCTACCAAGCCACCACCCTGTCTTTATCATTCATCTTTCTCTCCATTTTGATTTCAGCATCAAGAACTGTTTTCCCTTCTACTATAGTCCATTTTTTCCCCATTTGATTCTATTAACAGCTTTTACCAAATTATTCCCATGTTCAGAAACCTGTGGTGAGCTCAGGTATCCTGTCACATCAAACCTAAACCCTTCTTTTTTTTGAGATAGGGGTCTGCTCTGTTGCCCAGCCTGGAGTGCAGTTGTGCAATTACAGCTCACTGCAGCCTCAAACTCTTGGCCTCAAGCGATCCTCCTGCTTTGGCCTTCCAAAGTGTTGGGATTACGGGTGTGAGCCACCATATCTGGCCGCCTCTGACTTTTATTCTCACTGCCAGCCCCTACACCCACCCCTTCCTCCCTCTCAGGCTAAACCTATTATATCATCTTAGTCACCAAAAAGCTAATACCACACACACACACACACACACACACACACACACACAGCTCATTTCCCTGTCTCTACCTTATTTCTGGTTTTGCCCTGTGCAGAATGCCCCTTCACCTGCCTTTTAGCTACCCTGTTGGATTGTTCTTCTAAGATCAGCTTCACTCTCTCTTGCTTATGGTGGATCTACTCTGAACCTCCACATATTTGTGATTTGTACCACCCAGTGAAGCACTAATATTTGATGTGATTTCTTGAGTAATTGGCTGTTGTTAGCCTAGTTCCAACTAGATGGTGAGCTTCATGAAGGTGGGCCCATGCCCTCGACTACAGTAGCCCTCCAGTGTTGGCCTCAGGGTTGGGCCCATTAAGGATGCTTATTTTAGGTTGTCAAGAATCCCTTCCCACACTCATGCCTAAGATGGTCTAGAGAGCGTACCTTTAGGGTCCTGAGCTTCCACAGCCCGAGACTTGGTGCTCCTAATTCCCTGAGGTTTAGTGCCTGGATACTGGGAAGCCAGGACAAGGCATAACTTCATGCTGGTCTGTGGCCAGTGTGGTTGCGCATTTGTGGAATTTCCAATTGCTGGTAACATTCCAGGCTGTCGGACTGAAACTGTGTTCTGCTTCATTCTTCCAGTTTACTATTAAACCACTGGATAAGAAAATTGATGTCTTCAAGTTTAACTCCTCAAAGCTTCGTGTTAATAAGCTGGTAAGTTGAGATCCTGGTTTTCATTACTGATAATGGTAGCTTTTCTGAGAATTGAATACTTCTTTTTAAAGGATATCAGAGTGACATCTTGTGAAGTATAGAATGGTATCTCACTTGGCGCATACTTTCTGTTTAGCTTAAAGAGTTAAAACTAAATTATATCATGAAGAAGTTTTTTTTTTTGTTTTTTTTTTGAGACAGAGTCTCGCTCTGTCGCCCAGGCTGGAGTGCAGTGGCAGTGCCATCTCGGCTCACTGCAACGTCCGCCTCCCAGATTCAAGAGATTCTCCTGGCTCAGCCTCCCAAGTAGCTGGGATTACAGGCATGAGACACCATGCCCAGCTAATTTTTGTATTTTCAGTAGAGACGGGGTTTCACCATATTGGTAAGGCTGGTCTCGAACTCCTGACCTCAGGTGACCCATCCGCCTGGGCTTCCCAAAGTGCTGGGATTACAGTCATGACCCACTGCGCCCAGCCGATGAGGAATTTTTAAAAAGGATTTTTAATGCAGTATTTCATACATATAAAAGGATAAGTGTAACATATGAATTATAAAGAATAACAAAAGTGAATAGCTGTGTACCCACAACCCCACTTTAAGAAATAGCACAGTCCTGGCCGGGTGCGGTGGCTTACGCCTGTAATCCCAGCACTTTGGGTGGCCGAGACGGGTGGATCACAAGGTCAGGAAAAAAAAAAAAAAAGAAAAAGAAAAAGGAAAAAAGAAATAGCACAGTCCCAATACTGTTGAGACCCTTCATGTTAACACCCTGCTGGTCTCTCCTTTCCCTCTCCCCAAGGGTGATCACTGTTTTGAGTTGAGTATTCATCATCCTCTTGCTTTTCAACAGAATTTTATTTCATATATGGCAAAAGAAAAATACCATTCAATGTCATATGTTTATGAAATTTATCTAAATGCTGTCAAGTATATATATTCTTTTGTCATTTTCCTTTTCCTTTTTCATTATTTTTTTGAGATATATCTTTGTTGATGCTTAAAGATAGTCTGTTCATTCTCACCTCTGTAGCACTCTGTTATATATTTTTCTGATTCTTCTGTTAATGGATAATTAAGTGCTTTTTACTTCTATACTTTTTTTTTTGAAATGGGGTCTCACTCTGTTGCCCAGGCACAATCTCGGCTCACTGCAACCTCCGCCTCCCGGATTTAAGCAATTCTCCTGCCTCAGCCTCCTGAGTAGCTGGGATTACAGGCGGCCACTACCACGCCCGGCTAATTTTTGTATTTTTAGTAGAGATGGTGTTTCACCATGTTGGTCAGGCTGGTCTCGAACTCCTGACCTTGTGATCTGCCCACCTTGGCCTCCCAAAGTGCTGGGATTACAGGCGTGAGCCACTGCACCCAGCCACTTCTATACTGTTTTAACAGGCTGTTATGAAAACTTTTGTATCTGCCTCCTGGTGCACATAGGCAATAGTTTCTTTGGAGTCTTGAGTATACTGGGCTAGGTGGGGTGGCTCACGCCTGTAATCTCAGCACTTGGAGAGGTCAAGGCAGGATAACTGTTTGAGGCCAGGAGTTCGAGACCAACCTGGGCAACATAGCAAGACCCTGTCTCCAAAAAAATGAAAATAAATAAAATTTTTAAATAATAAAAAAGAGGGCCAGGCACAGTGGCTCAACTCCTGTAATCCCAGCACTTTGGGAGGCTGAGGCAGGCGGATCACCTGAGGTCAGGAGTTCAAGACCAGCCTGACCAACATGGAGAAATCCTGTCTCTACTAAAAATACAAAATTAGCTGGGCGTGGTGGCGCATGCCTATAAATCCCAGCTACTTAGGAGGCTGAGGCAGGAGATCGCTTGAACCCAGGAGGTGGAGGTTGCAGTGAGCCGAGATCATGCCATTGCACTCCAGCCTGGGCAACAAGAGTAAAACTTCGTCTCCAAAAAAAAAATAAATACATAAAAATAAATCAAAAATAGAGCTTAGAGTATATACACAGGAGTAGAAGTACAGGGCTTGGTATATGTTTAAATTTCAAAATTATGACACATTGTTTTCTAAAGAAGGTGAATCGATTTTTACAGACCCAACAGTAGTGGGTGAAGTTTGTTTTTTGCTATCCTTAATACTTGTATTATCAGCCTTTTAAAATTTTTGCCAATCTTGTGCATCTAAAATGGTATCTCATTATCAAATGAACTTTTTTTTTTTGAGATTTTGAGATAGGGTCTCACTCTGTTGCCCAGGCTGAAATGTAATGACACGATCATGTCTCACTGCAGCATGGACCTGCCCAGGCTCAGTGATCCTCCCACCTCACCCTCCCCAGTAGCTGGGACTACAGACACACACCACCATGCCCAGCTAATTTTTTGTATTTTTTTTATAGAGACAAAGTTTTGCCATGTTGTCCAGGCTTGTCTTAAACTCCTGGGCTCAAGCAATCTGCCTGCCTCCCCTTCCCAAAGTGCTAGGATTACACTTCCCAAAGTGCTGAGCCACCAGGTCTGGCCAAATGTTTTGAGTTTTTTGTGGAGATGGCGTCTCACTATGTCACCCAGGCTGGTCTTGAACTCCTGGGCTCAAGGATCCTCTCACCTTGGCCTCCGAAAGTGCTGGGATTACAGGTGTGAGCTACTGCACCTAGCCTGTTTTCTTTATTGGCTATATCTTCCAGTTTGTTGCTCTTTTTCTTTTTTTATGTCTTGACAATAAGAATTTTTAATTTTAATGTAGACAAATATATACATTTTTTCCTTAATCACTTTTTGTGTCTTACTTGGCATCTTCTCTTATCCTATGATCATAAAGATATTCTTCTATATTGTCTTCTAAAAGTTTCAAGGGCTTAATCTTTGCATTTAAGTATTTAATCCTTCTGGAGTTGATTTTTGTGTAAGGTGTAAGGGAGGGATACAACTTATTTTTTTCCACATGCATAACCTGTTGCCTCAGCCCAGCTTACTGAACGAGCTTTCCTATCCTCCCTGGTCTGCAGAACCACATCTTGATGTAGGAGAGTAAGGTGCACCCAGAAGACATGGTGAAGTGTCCTCCAGTCCTCTCTTGATTTATGATTTTTACCTCCTGGCATATCTGAGGCGCCTTCATTTTGCATGTTTCCAGAGCTGACGGCACTAGAGGCCACTAGTAGGGCTTTGGTGTTTCACTCTATGCATTCATCTTCACGTTTACTGCTACCTGCAAGAGCTCAAACTGCTATGGCACTAGTGGGCCAGTAGGCAGTGAAGTAAATTTGTGGATATTAACCTTTTTGTCTGCTTCTGTGGCCACAGATTCTCCAGCTATGTATCGGGAACCATGATCTATTTATGAGGAGAAGGAAAGCCGATTCTTTGGAAGTTCAGCAGATGAAAGCCCAGGCCAGGGAGGAGAAGGCTAGAAAGCAGGTGAGCACAACCTTGTTTTAACTGATGATGTCACTGTGTGGTCAGTCCTGGCCTGGGAGGCGAGGAGTGGTCATGGGCTGGCAGGAGTCTTTTGGCCGTGGACATACCTGCTCTTGTTTTATACCTTTTGGATCTTCATTTGCCGATGCCTACCTGGTGGGATGTCATCTCTGGAAATGAGGAATAAACCCTAATAGCATATCTAAAAGAAACATCTCTAGTAATTTCTACGCTTGGAGAAATTAAGTGTGATTAACACCAGTTTGGGATGAAATAGCCAAGAGTGCATGCATCTATCCGTCCGGCTAGCTAGCTTGCTTTCTTTTTTT
This sequence comes from Homo sapiens, assembly GCF_000001405.40. Lineage (NCBI taxonomy): Eukaryota > Metazoa > Chordata > Mammalia > Primates > Hominidae > Homo > Homo sapiens. Next base: position 29,668,776 of record NC_000022.11, read on the forward strand.
GCCTGTCTGCCTCCTTGTGCAGCCTTCTCCTTTTCTAATTAGATGGTGATAGAATGCCAGGTGGCATTTCAGTGCTTGCGGCTGGAATGCTAATTTGACTCTGGCTGCAATTCCCCACTGCAGGTCAGGCCTTATGGCATGTCACCTGCCCCAGGAGGTGCCAGGAGCATCTATCAGCAGACTGGATGATCTGCATCATTGTTTTCTACTCATAAACCTTCTCTGCTCATGGAAATCCACACAACTAATTTGGGCCTTACTGCTGAGAATATCAATTGTGTTTTTGGATAAACTACTAGATAGAGTAGCAGCAGCTGCAGTTGGCTGCCCGCAGGACTTGCAAGCTCAGAAGTGTAATAATTAGTCTGTGTGCACCTTTCTGATTTGGATACATTGGAGAGGCTGGTCCCAGCCCTAGGATTTAGAATGAAATGCCCAGTGTGCTTTCAGCTCTCTATCTCTTTGCTTTCTGAGGTAGTGGGCCACAAATGTGTTCTTTGGGATGCTTTCAGGGTGATGGGATGGATTTGTTGGACAAAGAAATCCTACTGAGCCAGCATGGGGTCATAGTGGCAGTTTCATGAAGAGCTCGTGGCAGTGGCTCATCCCTATAACTCCAGCACTTTGGGAGGCCAAGGCAGGAGGATCACTTGCCTAGGAATTTGAGGCTGCAGTGAGCTATGATTGCACCACTACATTCCAGCCTGGGTGACCAAGCAAGACCCTGTTTTAAAACAGAAGCAGAAACAAAATACCAAAATAAATAAATAAATAAGTAAATAAATAAGAAGGAGGAGGAGAGCTTTCTTTGACCTTTTTCTTAGCAGAGCAAAGCTTAGAAGTAAGAAATCTGAAAGTGTCAGGGAATATGCAGTCTGTGGGCCCTGGCAGAGAATAGCAGGAACACTGCAGATCGGCACTGCTTACAGCACAGCAGAGCCACAAACCTGGCATCTGGGCAACCACAGATCAGGTGGACAGACACTGACCTTGGAGCCAGATCTGAAATTTAGAATGTGAGTAAGTCAATGACTTACCTTCCAGACCTTAGTTTTCTCATCCATCAGGTGAAACTAATGATATACCTTCTCCATCTCAGATGAAGGGACGTATATTACACCTTACAGTCTTTGTATGCAGTAAACTTCTTTTGTGAATAGGAGGTCTTTTATATTGGGGTAGAGGTCTCAGGGAAAGTACAGGGCCAGGAACTGAAGGAGATTACCTGGCTTTTTTTTTTAATAAAAGGGTCTTGTTCTGTCACTGAGGCTGGAGTGCAGTGGTGCCATCATAGCTCACTGTAACCTCAAGCTCCTGGGCTTGAGCAATCCTTCTGCCTCAGCCCCTCAAGTAGCTGGGACTACAAGTGCATGCTACCACACCTAGTTAATTTTAATTGTTTCGTAGAGATCAGGTCTTGCTATGTTACCCAGGCTGATCTCAAACTCCTGGGCTCAAACATTCCTCCTACTTCAGCCCCCCAAAGTGCTAGGGTTACAGGCATGAGCTGCTATGCCTGCCTGGCCTGACTGGGCTTTTTCTTTCTTTCTTTCTTAGTTTCTTTTTTTTTAAAAGAATTGTAGATATGTAGTAAGCCACCTTATGGAAATTGTAATATGATGGAAATTAGAGAACAAATTGGCCAAGCTTTTCATTGACTTACAAGGAGAAAATTGGAGAAGAACTTTCACTGTTTTATTGCTTGTCTTTGCATTATCTTTTTGAGCTTGTGTGTGTGTGTGTGTGTGTGTGTGTGTGTGTGTATTTGGCTTAGGATTTAGAAAAAGCAGCAGTCTTAGAAACCTTGTATGACCAGAGTGTGGGATAAGATTGAAGCAAGAAGTAATTAAATGTGCTTTAATTATTTAAGGCAGAAAATAGTGCAGTGGTCACTTCTGGGTTCTGCTTTTTGAACTCAGTTAGTACCCTGGGATCACAGAGGAATGGCACTGTCTTGTGCTTGTTCCCCTTATTAAGCTCAGCATGTGGCCCAATTAATGCAGTGATCCAGAAGGCAAGGGAGGTAGTGGTGGCTTTGTGCTGTTGCCTTAAGGACACGGGGCTGTGTTTCCCGCCTGGCTCCCTCCTGTCCTAGGCCTGGCTCAGGAGTTGTCTCCACATGAGGCTGTGCAAGTCTGTGCTGTGGCTGTTGCAGCTCCCCCCTGTGAAATACAATGTGTGAACTATTGATGCATCACGTAGAATGATTCCATCTTCTCTGTGGGTCAGAGGCAAGAGTGGAGCTATTGTTGATGAAATCAGAGATGTGAGAGGGGTCCATGTGGATTAGAAATGGTGAGATGGCTTGCCTGCCCAGATGAGAAAGCTGCTTATTTCTGGGGCTCTATCTGAGGGAGGAGGTCCTGCATTGCATCCCATCGGCCATGGGGCAGAGCCACCTGGGGTTTCCCAACAAAAAGCAACATTGGCAAGGTAGCCATTTCAGTGCACCGTGTATAAGAATGCCTCCTTCTGCCAGGCGCGGCGGCTCATGCCTGTAATCCCAGCACTTTGGGAGGCCAAGGTGGGTGGATCATAAGGTCAGGAGTTCAAGACCAGCCTGGCCAATATGGTGAAACCTGATCTCTACTAAAAATACAAAAATTAGCCAGGCATGGTGGCGGGTGCCTATAGTCCCAGCTACTCGGGAGGCTGAGGCAGGAGAATTGATTGAACCTGGGAGGCGGAGGTTGCAGTGAGCCGAGATCGCGCCACTGCACTCCAGCCTGGGTGACAGAGCAAAACTCTGTCCCCTCCACCAAAAAAAAAGAATGCCTTTTTCTATCCGGGTCAAGACTCAACAGGTTTTTATTGTTTGTTCATTTGTTCATTCACCACTAGACTGTTTTTCAAGTGGCACAGCTTTCAACTCTGCAACTGGTTTAGAAGGACGGGGTGGGGGGCAATAAGAATGACCCTGGCTACCTAAAGGAAAGGGAAGGAAAAAGGTCCCAAAAGGGGAGACTGGAGATGGGGCATCTTTGGGCCCTTGTGGCACCCTAGGTCTCGAGCCCTGTGATTCAATGACTGTTTTTCTTCACCCCTCGCAGATGGAGCGGCAGCGCCTCGCTCGAGAGAAGCAGATGAGGGAGGAGGCTGAACGCACGAGGGATGAGTTGGAGAGGAGGCTGCTGCAGATGAAAGAAGAAGCAACAATGGCCAACGAAGCACTGGTGATTTCTGAGGGGCTGGGGTTCCAGGAGGCTACTTGGGGACTTCCTTGGCTTTTCTGGAGCTTGGTCTCCTGAAAACCATGAGTTAGCAGCGTTTGCTTTGAAATACTTAATTTCAGCTTTGAAAAAATCAGTGCCTTTTCTTTTCACCTGTGTTGGCAGAAGCAGATTTAGGTTGAGCTTATGTGCAGCCAAACTCCACTTTCACCACGAGGTTGCCTTTATAGCAGGGCTTCTCAGCCTGGGCACTACTGACATTTGGGGCTGACCATCCTTTGCTGTAGGAACTAGATCCCAGTAGCAGCACCTCACCCTCCATTTGTAACAATCCAAAACATCTTCAGACATTGCCACATGTCTCTTTTTTTTTTTTTTTTTTTTGAGACGGAGTCTCGCTCTGTTGCCTAGGCTGGAGTGTACAGTGGCACGATCTCAGCTTACTGCAATCTTCACCTCCCAGGTTCAAGCAATTCTCCTGCCTCAGCCTCCTGAGCAGCTGGGATTACAGGCATGCATCACCATGCCCAGCTAATTTTTGTATTTTTAGTAGAGATGGGGTTTCCCCATGTTGGTCAGGCTGGTTTCGAACTCCTGACCTCGTGATCTGCCCGCCTCAGCCTCCCAAAGTGCTGGGATTATAGGTGTTAGCCACCGTGCCCAGCTGTACTTTTATTTTTTTTTTTTGAGATGGAGTTTCACTCTTGTTGCCCAAGCTGGAGTGCAATGGCATGATCTTGGCTCACTGCAACCTCCGCCTCCTGGGTTCAAGCGATTCTCCTGCCTCAGCCTCCCAAGTAGCTGGGATTACAGGTGCGCGCCAACACATCCAGCTTTTTTTTTTTTGTATTTTTAGTAGAAATGGGTTTTCACCATGTTAGCCAGGCTGGTCTTGAACTCCTGACCTCAGGTGATCTGCCCGCCTCAGCCTCCCAAAAGGCTGGGATTATAGGCGTGAGCCACCGTGCCCCACCTGCCACATGTCTCTTGCAGGGGACAAAAAACTCCTCTGGTTCTAACCACTGATTTAAAGGGAAAGAACAGAGTTTAAGTTGTTTTTCTCCACGTGAAGCATAAGCCTGAGCTGAGGTGGGTACTCAGAGAAGGTGCTCTTGTTACTCCCCATGGGTGCAGCCCGAAGGGCCCTTCTGAAAAGTTGGGGAATGTGGCTTGTCATTTCTTGTCAGAGGGTCATGGAGGGCACTCAGCAGCAGGGCCCCAGGAGTCCGAGACTCTGGTTTGTCCCATCTCAGTGTTCAAGGCAGATCTGGGCGGGAGAACAGCACATGATCCCACTTCAGCTAAGAGCACTGTGCCCTCCAGATGCGGTCTGAGGAGACAGCTGACCTGTTGGCTGAAAAGGCCCAGATCACCGAGGAGGAGGCAAAACTTCTGGCCCAGAAGGCCGCAGAGGCTGAGCAGGAAATGCAGCGCATCAAGGCCACAGCGATTCGCACGGAGGAGGAGAAGCGCCTGATGGAGCAGAAGGTGCTGGAAGCCGAGGTGCTGGCACTGAAGATGGCTGAGGAGTCAGAGAGGAGGTGAGGGGGCACCGGGCACCAGACTGGCGAGGAGGCTGGCGAAGGGCCGCAGACCAGCCTGCCCTGAGGCTGAGCTCTACAGCAGTTGTCCTCAAGCTGCTTGCCCATCTTCTGGGCCGTGGGGAGGCTCCTCCTTGGCTGATGGTGACTGGTGCTTTATCCATTTTGGGGCTGGCGCTACTGGTTGGGCACAGGAACTCAGTTCCCCCTCCAGGGGGGCCTCTCTGGTCATACTTGTGTCTCTTTGATAAGCCCCTGTCCCTCTGATGGCCGTGTGTGCAGGAAAACCCCTGAGCATATCCACAGACCGCTTTCAGCTGAAGAGATGTGAGGAGGCTCTTTGTGCATTTAAAAAAAGTGTGGTTCTTTTCTGCTTTCATTCAGTGGGGCTGCAGGAGAACAGCAGCTGCCTACCTTTAAAGGGAAGCTAGTGCCTGCATCCCCCAGCCTTTCTTGGCACATGGGGGAGGAGGGCTAGGATGATCTCTGTGACTGGGATGTCCCACTCATGGCCAGGTTGAAGGATGGAACTGTTGTCTGTACTTTTGAAAGACTATTCTAGGCCTGCAACCTTCAGATAAACACTGACACATTCCCCACAGCTTTTGGCTCTGTTGATTTAGAGCACTTGAATTTGGCTTTTAGCTACCAAGGTGCATTCACTACAGTTTTCCTCACCACGCTTTGCATGTCGTTCTGGGAATATGGTTCCTTTTTGCCTGCCCTGCTTCAGGCCCCTTACTGTATTCGGGGGTCACTCCCTGTGCATGATGCAGGTTGGGCCAGGTCCCTGCACCAGGCCTCACATGCCGTGACCACCTGAGCCCCATAGGATGAGGATCTGCACCAGGGTGCGGGTGCCCTCAGTGACTGGGCTCATCTTTCTGCTGGAGAAAGTGGGCACAAGGCCCACTGGTGTTTTATCCGGGGGCTGTGAAGACGCAGTTCTTGCACATTCTGCCCTTTGCGATCCAATATAAGAACTTTGATCCTCCAGGTTCTTCCTTTGCCCAGCTCACTCTCACCCAAAAATAAAGCAGAGAAAGCTGCTGGTGCCCTCTCCAGCTCCTCTGTCTCCTGGCTGCAGAAGGTCTGGTTTCTCTCATTCCCCACCAGTTTTCCTGCTCTTCCAGTTTAGATTTACCAACTCAAACAAAAGTCCTCAGGAATGTTGTCCTTGCTTGGAAGTTCTGATTTCATGTAAATATCCCTGTCTCACTGTCCTTTTTCACCTCTTTGGGTGCCATCCTCAGGGTTAGCCCAGGTCCCTCCTCTGCAGGGGTGGGGTGGTGTCTTTTCCTGCTACCTGCCCTCTTCTGTGAAGCTGACATCTCATCCTTTCCTTGCAGGGCCAAAGAGGCAGATCAGCTGAAGCAGGACCTGCAGGAAGCACGCGAGGCGGAGCGAAGAGCCAAGCAGAAGCTCCTGGAGATTGCCACCAAGCCCACGTACCCGGTGAGCCTGGGGGCCACCAGCTGGGGCTGCCTTAGTCCTGGTGATGTTCTCTTTCCTCCCGGCCCTTCAGTTCATCTGGCGGTGCCTTCAGGGTGACCATTCAGGCAAACACATGGCTGGATGAGAGGTGCAGAGAGCCTGCAGTTAGGGACTGGGTAGAACATCCTGGTCTGCCATTTGGCTTTGGACTAGTTAGTTGTCTCTTTGGTTGCCTGGATAACAGGCAACAGGGCCTTTTCCAGCTCTGGAATGTTTTTCTTTTTCTAAGTAATATAGTCCCAAATTATCCTCAAGAGAATTTGCTCTCTTGCCTCTTAATGCTGAGCTGAATGTAATCTTCAACTATCAGTATATACCATATATCATAATTATAGTTCTGGGAAGGGATTGGCTGTACACCTCAGAGTGAATTACTGCCGTGCAAGAACGAGCAGCCACTCTCAGTTTGGGGACAGAGAGTCAGACTTCCATTAAATGGGGTCACAAAATGAATAGAAGCCTCTTTCCTTCCTTTCTTCTGTGCATTCAGTTTGGCATTTTTTTTTTTTTCATATTTGTTCAGTGTCCACATAGTGCCATGCAGTTGGAAGTCTCTATCCTGACAGGTGTTCTCAGGGTGCACAGGTGCCTAGAGGAGGAGGACACAGCCCACCCTGGAGGAGCAGGAGAGGCTCAGTGTGGTGTCTACACTGATGCTTGAAGGGGGAGCAGGAAGTAGCCAGGTGGAGAAGAGAACATAGGGTATTCAGGGTGAGGGCACAGATGCACACATGGCCCAGACTCACACACAGCACAGTCATCTACATGGCACAGACACACACACGTACCCATACATACATTGATGCACATAGCACATCCACACACACAGCACGGACACACACGCACCCATACTTACATTCATGCACATGGCACAGGCACATACATGACCCAGATGCACAAAGGGCACCAGAGGCACAAGCTGCCCAGGGTTTGAGGTGGGGAAAATGTAAGCAGTTTGCTGTTGCCGTATATCCCGGTTCTCCGTTACTGTGTAACAACCCACCCAAGCCAGCTGTGTGGCTTTGTTAGTACCTCTGGTGGCTTGTTGGGTTGACTGGGCCAGACAGAGATCCTTGCTGGGGATCTCTCTGGTGGTCACAGTCAGATGGTAGCTGGGACTGGAGTCGTCTGAGCAGTCAACTGGGCTGAACACCTGAGATGTGTTATGTTTTTATTTTTTATTTTATTTATTATTTTTTTTTTTAGAGAGAGAGAGTTTTATTTACTCTGTCACCCAGGCTGGAATGCGGTGGCAGAATCTCGGCTCACTGCAACCTTAGCCTCATAGGCTCAAGCGATCTTCCCGCCCCAGTCTCCTGAGTAGCTGGGACCACAGACATGCACCACCACGCCCAGCTAATTTTTTTTTTTATTTGGTAGGGACAGGGTTTTGCCATGTTGCCACAGCTGGTCTCAAACTCCCGAGCTCAAGTGATCTGCCTGCCTCAGCTTCCCAAAGTGCTGGGATTATAGGCATGAGCCACTGTGCCCAGCCTATATGTGTTGTTTTTAAAATATACACTGGAGCAAAGCTTATACACTGCTGTAACTGCTCTTTCCTCTTAGCAGTCAATCCTGAAGGAGATCATCCATATCAGCTTTTTAATCATGTTTTGTTGTGTGGATGGATTGTAATTTATTTAACCAGTCCCTCATGGATGAGTATTTAGTCTGTTTTCTTTTGCAATTTTGAACAAAATGACACTGAACATCCCTGAACACAAATCTTGACACACACACGTGGATATATTGGTAGAATAAATTCTTATAATAGAACTGTGGGGTCAAATTTTCGATTTTGATACTCTCCAAAGAAGTCATACCAGTTCATGCTCTCACTAGTGGTGCAGCAACTAGTACGCGTTTTTGCTGAAAATTTTTATGATGTGTAACATACACATAGAGAAGTGCCCAAATTACAACTGTACAGTTTGAAGAATTTTCACAAACTGAACATACCCATGTACCCAGCACCCAGATCAGAAAACAGGACATCCCTGGCACCCAAGGAGCCTTCTCTCAGCACCCTTGCAGACGGTCTGCCTCAGGCCTTGAGAATGTCTCAAATGAATGTTCCAAGCCTCTGCTCTTTCCCAGACACTGTCCTAGACTCAATACGGGATCCAAGGATGAAAAAGAGGCAGATTGTTTGCAGGAAACTTGCAAATAGTAGAAAGAAGATACAGCCAAAAAGAAATCTTTTACAGGGTGGAATCGCAGAAGAACCATTAGAGAACCGTAAACACAGCGTTAAGGGACAGCAAAGAAAAGGGTTGCCGGCTGGCTGGGAGGGGCTAGAAAGGCTTTGGTGAGAGATCGTGGTGTTTGAGAAGGGCCTTGAAAGAGGGATGGAGCATAGGGAGGAGAAATGGGATAGGCAGGGGTACAGAGATGGGAAGGCAGTAGTCCAGGGGATAATAAACAATACTGTCTGTGACTTAGTAGGGCAAATAGTAGGAGAAGCCGGGAAGCTAGATTGGGGTCCTCTTTAGATGACCCTTTGTGCTGGGATGAAAGTCCAAAAAAAAAAAAAACTACACCACCCCTGCTTCAGGCCCTACTCCGGTTCCATTGTCCAAGCCCAAGCCCCTCGGTGGGCCGGTGGGGAGCCCTTTGTGGTGGTGCCCATCTCCCACCCCACCTCTCCACACTGCATGGCAGACTCCTGGCACCCTCACTGGGCACTGCCCCACCCATTGCCATACTTCCCGTCCGGCAGACCTTCTCCTGGCACTGCCTTGGATCCCAGCAAAAGCAGCATCTCTTCTAGCCTCTGTTCGCTCCCTGGCTACAGTGTTTACCTTTTTTAACAGTGATGATCTGTGAACACATCTATTTCCTGAACAAGACTTTCAGCTGCTCAAAGCCAAGGATGCTGTCTTGTTTTCTGCATCTCCAGCCCCTTGCACAGGGCCTGGGAGTTTCCTAAATGAAAAAGCGAGTGGGAGTTTGTGTTTGATTCAGCTGAGCATGAAGAACGGTTAGAGATTTGAGGGATGATTTTCCTGGATTTGTAGTCTTTGATATTGTTTACCTGGCAGTGGCAAATGTGGAGGGAGTGAAGTGGAGGGATGGGGACTCGTGGTGGCATTGGGAGGTGGGACCCGAGTTGTGCCCATTGCCTCTGTGGCTGCTGGAGGATCGGTTGTCAACACAGTAGTGTCCTTCTGTGCTTGTATGACCCAAGCTCCTAATCCGAAATTTCTCATTAACAGCCCATGAACCCAATTCCAGCACCGTTGCCTCCTGACATACCAAGCTTCAACCTCATTGGTGACAGCCTGTCTTTCGACTTCAAAGATACTGACATGAAGCGGCTTTCCATGGAGATAGAGAAAGAAAAGTATGTAGCCCCCTGTGCCCTGCTGTGGGCAGCTGTGAACTAGACTGAGTGATTGGGGCCTTGGGAAGCTGGGGCAGAGGTGAGAGGTCGCTGCAGCAGCCTGTCATTACTCCTGCAAAGGTTTGCTCTGCTCTTACACCCTGGAGGAAGAATTTCCTTAATCAGAAATTAAGGACAACAGATCAGCATTCATTCTGAACGAATAAAAATAACAATTTTTATCCAGGATAAAAATAACACTTGACTGGTGAGCTGGAGTTTTTGGTGGCTCTAAGCCTCACCTAAAGTGTAGGACTGGGTTGTTAGCATCTCTGAGTCAGTTCAACTGCTGTTATACTACTGGACTGTAGTCACCTCCTAGTTGTGTTCTCCAGCAACTGGGATCTGTGGTGGTTCCCATGTCTAGAACAAACAAAGGTGAGAGAAGAGACTCAGGCTCGAGGCTAAGGAAAGCTGACAGCTGGTGGGGCCACTTTGCTGCAGTGGGTGGCACTGGGCAGGGCCCCAGCATGGCCTGATCATGGCAGCAATTGCTGAGCTGCCCTCCGTCTTCCCTTTATTGTGGGTAGAAGTGGATCAGAGATGGAAAGGAAAGGATCCCCACTGCAGAGGAAATCTAAGCGAGGGCCCCTAGTTCCCAGAGCTAGCGGTAAGTTGGTTAACTGCTGCTGCTTGCTAGAGGACAACCACAGTAGCTACCATGCATTGAGTGCCTGTGTGTCAGGGGTTTTGGCTTTTGTCTCATTTAATTCCTGCTAACTTACAAACATCAAAATGACATCAAAGGTAGGTTTTCATGTTCCCATTTTATAAGTGAGAACTCAGATTTAGAGAGTTTAGTGAACTCCACCAGCATCCCACAGCTGATGCAGAGGGGTTGAAACCCCTCACCCATCTGACTCTGCAGCCCATGTGCTTTTACCATGGGTGGTATCCTCAGGAAAACCCTTTGGGGAAAGTGTCTCCATGGAGTCCAGTATGGGCAACCAGAACCCAGGCTGTTTTTCTTTGGGCTCTCACACTGAGGGTATAGCTAAGTAGCCAATGAACCAGAGCCTCTAGCTGTCATATCTGCTGTCCATGTTCCTTTCACCATTATCCAGACATATACATTTATGTGGTTGGGATCCGGGATCAGGGTGAAGCTGTTCTGTGTCTGCTATTTTATAGTTTGTATTTTGTTACTATCTTAGTTTGTTTTGGCTACTGTAACAAAATACCAGAGGCTGGGTAGCTTATAAACAACAGAAATTTATTTCTTGGCCAGGCACAGTGGCTCATGCCTGTAATTCCAGCACTTTGGGAGTCCAAGGGGGGCAGATCTCTTGAGCCAGGAGTTCAAGACCAGCCTGGGCAACATGGCAAAACCCCATTTCTACTAAGAATACAAAAATTAGCTGGGTGTGGTGGCACATGCCTGTGGTCCCAGCTACTCGGGAGGCTGAGGTGGGAGGATTGCTTGAGCCTGGGAGGCAGAGGTTGCAGTGAGCCCAGATTGCACCACTGCACTCCAGCCTGGGCAACAGAGAGACACCCTGTCTCAAAAAAAAAAAAAAGAAAAGAAAGAAATTGATTTCTCACAGTTTGGGAGGCTGAGAAGGCCAAGATCAAGGCACGGGCAGAGGTGGAGTCTAGTGAGGGCATTCTTGCTGGTTCATAATCAGCCCCTTTTTGCTGCATGCTCACCCAGTGGAAGGGATGAGGGGTCTCTCTGGAGTCTCTTTTATAAGGGCACTAATCCCATTCATGAGGCTCTACCCTCATGACTGCCCAAAGGCCCCACCTCCTGACACTTTTTTTTTTTTTGAGATGGAGTCTCACTCCATCGCCCAGGCTGGAGTGCAGTGGTGCGATCTCGGCTCACTGTAACCTCCACCTCCTGGGTGCAAGCGATTCTCCTGCCTCAGCCTCCTGAGTAGCTGGGATTACAGGCGCATGCTATCACGCCCAGCTAACTTTTGTATTTTTAGTAGAGATGGGGTTTCACCATGTTGGTCAGGCTGGTCTCGAACTCCTGACCTCATGATCCGCCCACCTTGGCCTCCCAAAGTGTTGGGATTACAGGCGTGAGCCACCACACCCAGCCGGTGATTAGGTTTCCACATATGAATTTTGAAGACACGAACATTCAGACCATAGCACTTCTTACCCTTGCACATATTGGCAGAGTCTCTATACTAACCATGGCAATCCCTATGGAGTGTTTTTGGTATTTGTATTGCATGGTTTTTCTGGCCATGCCTTGTAGTTGGACACTTTGTGGGTGGTTTCCAGATTTTCACCATCATAGATGCTGTCACTCAGTGTTATCTGTTCTCAGGTGAGGGTGGGGATCTTTTCTTCCTTGCGTTGGGTGAGCTTCTGAGTGAGCTTCTGTCATCTTTAGATGAAGTCTCAGAACAAGTGGGAATGTGGATGTGGCCTATCAAAAGAGATCACGTGAAGCTGGGCGCTGTGGCTTATGCCTATAATCCCAGCCCTTTGAGACCAGGGGTTCAAAGCCAGCCTGGGCAGCATAGCAAGATCCTATAAAAAAAAAAAAGAGTTTACTTGAATTACTGCTCCAAGAAGGGTTGAGACAAGGAGATTGTTCTGGGTTCCCAGGAAGCTTGTTTCACGTATGTTTTTTTTTTGTACAGAACGAAAAGCTGTCCATGAGAGCTGGTATTTGTAGAGCCCCCTATGAGAATTTACCAAGGGCTTTTCTACTCTTTCTTTTTCTTTCCTTTTCTTTTTTTTTTTTTAAAAATAGAGACAGGGTCTTGCTATGTTTCCCAAGCTGGTCTCCAACTCCTGGGCTCAAGCAATCCTCCTGCCTCAGCCACCCAAAGTACTGGGATTACAGGTGGAGCCACCGTGCCTGGCCTCCTACACTGTTTTATTTAATCCTAACCACGGCCCTGTGATCATTATCCCAATTTTAATGATGAGGAAACATTCATAGCATTTAAGTGACCAGCCCAAGCTCCCATGGCCTGTGAGTGGCCAAGTAGAGACGTGAACCCCAGGCCTCAAACCCTAGATCGCACACCAAGCAGCTTGTGGGCCGCAGAGCACCTGAGCCGTGTCTCACTGTCTGCCCAAGCCCTGATGCATGATACCCTCTTGCCGGCAGAGTGGAATACATGGAAAAGAGCAAGCATCTGCAGGAGCAGCTCAATGAACTCAAGACAGAAATCGAGGCCTTGAAACTGAAAGAGAGGGAGACAGCTCTGGATATTCTGCACAATGAGAACTCCGACAGGGGTGGCAGCAGCAAGCACAATACCATTAAAAAGGTACCCAGGGTCTCTTTCTTGTATTTTGCTGATCAGGACCATCATTAATGAAATGTGCGGTTGGCATCTGGTTTCCTCAGTAGCCAAGTCACTAGACTATTGGCATCTTTTGTATGTACTTAGTTGAGGAAATTTTTTAACTTATGCCAGAAAGGGAATTTAATCTGCCAATGACTATGAACCCATTGGCTGGATGGAAGTTGAGCTTGTGTTAAAAGCTCTGATGTAATGAACCCCTGTTACAGGGTGGATTTTGAGCCCTCATTTAGCAGTAAAGCATAATGCCCTTTTAAGCCAAGGGGTGTTATACCCAGGGAGCTGCCTTACTTTATGAGAAAGCAGAATGAAATGGAGGCTATTGAGAATGGACTTTCCCTCTAGTCTTGTGGTGTCTTTAAGTGGCAAGGACTATAAAACCAAACTGAATTTTTAACTTTTTTCATACTTAAAAGGAAGTGTCTAGGAAAGAACCTCTTTGTTTTAAAAGAGAAGACTTTATTACTTTGCAAATGGTTTCATATCTTTCTCTACTGGTATTTTGAGCTTTCAGCATTGTCGAGATTCAGAAGCTAAATTCCATACTAATTATCAGCCCAAGAGCATACCTCTCTCATTTGGGCCAAGCAGAAGGGTCCTCTCATACCAAATAATGCTCTGCTCTTAACTGATAGCCCAGGACCAGGTTAACACCTATAAAATAGGTGTTATTAAGATAAGACTGTCCATTGAGTTTAGGTGATACTGATACAGTTAATTTTTTATTCTTTACCTCAGTCTTTAAAATAGGCTTCCAGTTTTATGGACTGTCTCTGTTTTTAGTGGTTAAGCTGTATCTGAAAACTCCAGGGGATCTGTTTCTGCCTGCCTTCGTTGTTGGGTACAGTAGGCAGCCCTGACTTCTACCTCTCGACTCCAGTCACAACTGGCACCGGGTAGAGAATTCCTTTTAATAGTGCAACCTAGAAGGAAAGGCATTTCCACATTCCACATTCTTCTTTCCTCTGGCTTCTGTAATTTACTGGGCTTCCCTTCCAAAACAAAATTATTAAACAGTAAAGGGGAGTTCAAGGGAGGCCTCGGTCATTAAGGAAAGAGGTAAAACGATGGCTGAGCCAGTGAGCCAGTCAGCCCTTAAATGAACTGCCTCAGACACCCCATCTCACCCCTTACCCCCAGCCTTGTCATCTGGGTCCCAGGAACAGTCTCACCATTTCCACTGCTGCTGCAATGAGCAGTGCCCTCAGCCACAGAAACCTGCAGTGTGAGAGCTGGAGAGACCCCGTTCCAAGCCATTAAAACAAACAAAATCACTCATCACGATTTCAGGCCTATCCAAGCATTTTGCAGATGGCACTTATGGCATTGTTGATATCACAGGGTATGTTTTTGTTTTTCTTCATTTTATTTTGCTGGTTTAGCCTCAAGCCCAAGGCAGAAGACCTATCTGCATTTGAGCCCTCAAAGTAGGTTGTTCCCAGGTACTCTCTATGTGGTGATGGTGCTGCCCTCTGTGATACTAACCCGTGCATGAGCTTGCCTGTCTCTGTCCTCGGGCCACACTGAGCCCTTACGAGGGCAGGTGGTGCCTGGGTACTGGCCGCAGCATGCTTTGAGTCTAAAAGTAGGCACCCACCCTGTGAAGCCAGACCAGCCTCCAGGGCCCCAGAAGACTGCCTCGTTCCGAAGAGCATGTCATGGGGCTGTAGGACCAGCCATTCTTCCCATCTCGGGTCATTGTTGGGCTGGGGAAGGTTATGGCTTCTTGTCCAGTCAGGTGTGTCTAAAAGTCCTTTGTCTTGGTGGCATACTCCTAGCATGGAAATGGGGTCAATCTGGGCACTTTGGAGACTGGTGTGTTTAACTCAAGATCAAGACCTTTTATGCGTTGACAGCCTCTCAAGACCCATGGTCACACCTGGCAGCTTCTGGTAGTGGGGCAAAAGGGTTGCTTGTGCTGGCTCATTTTCCTTTAGAGCTTTCCCTTTCTGCACACATCCCTTTTCTTTTCAAATAAAGCAAACCCAGAGCACAGGGTCTGATATGTGAGTCCACGGGGAGTGGACTGTCTGTTCATCTGTGCTCAGCCACCTCTGCTTCAGCTTCCTCTCCATAGGCTGAGCAGAGATGTGGTCAGAGTGAACTCACATTGGAACAGTACACTCACGGCACCCTGGAGAGGAGCGGTCACTGGTTGCTGAGTGAATTAACCGAATGTTTGCTGCTTTTCTCCTGCAACAGTTCATTATTCCTCCAGCATGCCTAGGCAGTGGAGAGAATGTATTTTGCCCAATAATAAAATGACATCCTGCCTCTACTTCTCACCTAATCCCCAGTAGTACCCATGCCAACAAGCCCCACACCACCTGACAGCAGCATAGGATGTGTCCTTTGGAGTCTTCCCTGCAGTTTCTGCTCATAGAGTGGAATAAGCTCATTGGAACCTTTCTAACAAAAAGAGATCTGGCATAAGATAGATCCTACTTGTGGTCGTTATCCCATCAAGAGAGGTCAGCTGTTAAAGTCCCTGATAGATCTTATTAAAAGGTACACTTGAGCTGTCAGTGGTTCCAAGAATCCATGACATGAACCCTGTTTTGTATGCGACACTTTCATTTAGCGGGCTCCTGTTTCTTCAGCTTTCATATCCTTGTTGGCATTGATACCCTGATACAGAACAGTCCGCGCTCTGAGCAGGGCAGTTATGGCCAGCATTGTCACGGGCAGGCCAGCTCATGGCACCCAGAGCAGCCAGGTGGACCCACCTTGGTTTACTGAACTTTTTGTAACCATGGGGGCAAGCAGAAAACCCCGCTGCATTTCAGCCAGTGCTGCCAGGTGTTCCCTCCATGGGAAGGTGCTGCTCAACCTGAATGTGACTTCCTCTTTCTTCTTTCTATAATGATGCAGAATGCTGAAATTCTTCAGGGTCCTGATTTTGACTGTCATTTCTCACTGAGCTTTTACTGCAGACAAAAGAAGTTTCATTTTTAGTTAAATTTGCACTGCTCCTGGGACATACATGGATGCATTTATTTATTCATCCATTTTAATGTCTCGATGTGAACTTGTTTTTAAAGCAGGCTACCAGGCAGTTAATCAAACACTCGGGTTAATCAAGGGTTAATAAAAGCAGGGACTTGATGTTTAATGGGACAGGCATTCTCTCAGCATCACTAGATTCAATAATGCTGCACTATTAAATTTTGCTGCACATGAAGTTCAGTGCATGTTCCATTTTCTAGACTTTGGCAGTGCCTGTGGTCAGTGACCGGGACTGATGAGCAGCCACATGCCTGCACTAGGGTGGCTCTGGGGTGGTGCATGCTGCAGTCTGGCTGGCACAAGCCTAGCTGAAGAGAAGTACTGCTTTAGGCTTGGATGTGGGGATACCTAGATGTCAAGGGCAGAACTCCATCTAGAATGCCTGGGGATGAGATGCAAAAGCTGATAGTGAATGGAACAGTTTCCAATGTCCAAAAGCTTGCTAATCTGGGATCAAACCAGCCTGTGTTGATGTTAGTTTTGCTTTGTTTTGAGACACGGTCTCCCTCTGTCACCCAGGCTGGTACATTCTCGGCTCACTGCAACCTCCACCTCACAGGCTCAAGTGATCCTCCTGCCTCAGCCTCCCAAGTAGCTGAGACTAGAGGTACTAGCCACCACACTCAACTAATTTTTGTATTTTTTATAGAGATGGGGTTTCGCCATGTTGCCCAGGCTGGTCTCGAACTCCTGAGCTCAACCAATCTGCCCGCCTCTGCCTCCCAGAGTGCTGGGATTATAAAAGTGAGCCACTGTGCCTGGCCTGTTTTGTTTTTAATAAGGTTTTTTGTTTGTTTTGTTTTGTTTGAGACAGGATCTCACTCTGTCACCCACCTTGGTGACAGCCTCGACCTCCTGGGCTCAAGCGATCCTCCCACGTCAGCCTCCCAAGTAGCTGGGACTACAGGCATTTGCCACCATGCCTGACTGATTTTTTTATTTTTATTTTTGTAAAGATGGGTTTCGCCATGTTTCCAGGCTGGTCTCGAACTCCTGAGCTCAAGTGATCTTCCTGCCACAGCCTCCCAAAATGCTGGGATTACAGACATGAGCCATCTTGCCTGGCCATTGTATTTGTCCTCGTTTTCAGTACTCTTCTGCCTCACTGAGAGGTCTCAGAGTCTGCTGTGTGGTTTCAGCAGTACCCATGGGGGCTGTGTAACATTGAAGCTGATTCAAGGAGTTTGCCCTTAGGTTACCAGGGGTTACCGCATTCCCTGAGGAATGCTGAGCGGCCATCCAGTCTGATTAACCGAGGTTCCTACTTCTCTGCCACTTCCTTTCTCTATAATTCTTACTCGCTCGCTCTCTCTTTTTTTTTTTTTATTATACTTTAAGTTCTAGGGTACATGTGCACAACGTGCAGGTTTGTTACATATGTATACATGCAGCTATAAAAAAGGATGAATTCTTACTCTCTCTTGAGGCACAGTGTCCTCACCTGCAAAAGGTGGATAAAAATAGTCTTTGCCCCCAGGAGTGTTGTGAGGAATAAATGAGAGAATGTGTGTGCAACACTCAGTGCACAGTCAGAGCTCAGTAAGGGGTTAAAACTCTGAAAAGGGAAAATCTGCTTGTGATCCTGCAGCAAAGGGCGAAGGACGGCATGTGGGCCACACCGCCACATCTAGGTACACTGCTTGTGCTGGGCATATTCATTCATTGTATTAATTGCTACGTGGCTGAAAGTAAAAACTTTTAAAAAGCCATAATTGGCCGGGCACAGTGGCTCATGCCTATAATCCCAGCACGTTGGGAGGCCGAGGCAGGTGAATCACCTGAGGTCAGGAGTTCGAGACCAGCCTGACCAACATGGAGAAACCCCGTCTCTACCAAAAATACAAAATTTGCCAGGTGTGGTGGCGCATGCCTGTAAACCCAGCTACTTGGGAGGCTGAGGCAGGAGAATTGCTTGAACCTGGGAGGTGGGGGTTGCAGTGAGCCAAGATCGTGCCATTGCACTCCAGCCTGGGCAACAAGAGCAAGATTCCATCTCATAAATAAATAAATAAATAGCCATAATTAACTTCACTGTTTCCTTGTAATATTTCACTTGGGTTTGCAAGGATGTATTTTTCTCCTCTTGCTAATCTTAACTTCCTGTATTTCCATTTTTCCCAATTGATGATCAGTACAACTAGTTTGCCATTTGCATCTGAGTCAGAGCAGTGCTAGCGATCAAAAGCCGCCCTGGGGAACCTGGAATTGTTTCATTCTCAGTGGGAGCGACACGTGTCCTGGCATCTGAGCCTTCCGAGTGAGGGGAGTGAGTCTGGCCATCAGGCTGGGGTTGAGGGACACAGGGTGCCTTGAGCCTGGCTTTCGTGCCTTCAGAGCCACAGTGCCAATGATGGGAGTGGTGGCTTGGTGTGGCGTAACTGTACCACCATACCTTGATGGTAGAATGCAGTCCTGGAATATATACATTCAGGGTCTTTCTTTCATCGCTTCTCAAGAGAGGGGTTTCAGTCTCCCGATCCTGAGCTGGTCTGAGTGCCAGCAAACAAAGTCATCACTTTTGTGCCTGTGGTCTCCCAAGGAGCACAGGATTTCCAAGGAAATTGACGGATGAGAAATCATGGGGGTGGTGGAGCTTAGAAAGCTTATTTCATTAGTAAATGGTTTGAACCGTCAAGGTCCAGCTGTGGTTTCCACTGATGGAGGAACAGGAAGAAGAGGAGCCTTGACATTTATCTCAAGCGCCAGCAGCTTCTCTTGGATCAGGAAGACATAAAAGTCCAATGTCATCTTCAATTTGTGCAGGCTCCCCTTGGAGTTGCAGAGCCAGTGAAGTGAAGTAGAACAGTTAAAAAAACACCCGGGGAAGTGATAAATCACAGAGAGAGATTGCATATGCGGGAAAGGTGTCTCCCACAATTAAAACAAGTGGCCAGAGCCTCCCTGGCGACCTCTGGTCTGCATTGCCAGCCCTGAAGATGGCTCCTAAATTACTTAAGTTTAATAGGTAGTTAATATAGCCAACCCTCCTTATGACCCCAGTGGGCTGAATGGCTCTGCTTGCTTTAGGAACTGGGCGTTGTATGGTAGAGCATCTTGGCCTTGACATAAAAGGTAGCATACTGGCTCCCCAGCCCTGAACCTTCCCTGCTAGAGCAAGGCAGGGGTGAGAGGGGGAAGGAAAGAAAAAGGAGTGGGGAGTGGGGTGGGGAGCAAGGATTAACAGGGAGCAGTAGCAGCACCAGATGTGGGCATAGCACACTGGGAAGAAATTGCAGTGGCGATCTGAACTCTTCCTCTCCGCCTCCTGGCTCTGTGGAAGCCCAGGGAAGGCATTAGGAACTGCAGGCTGCTCTTAGTGCTCCTCCCGGATGGGACACCTTGGGCTCATCCCTGAAGGCCACTCCTACCACTCTCACACACTGAGTTCCTGGTGTCTCGTAACTGTTGAGAGCTTAGTTTTCTTGCTTGTTTCTGGTAGCTCTAGATAGAAGACTGTATCGGCCTCTTCTAAAAGTCAACAAGCCAATCCTGTTTTTGGTTAAGAGACTTTACCTGGTCAAGCAGTTGTTCTTTGGGAGGTGTTGAAGAGCCTACAAACCTGCCTTGCCTGCCTAGGTACTTTACCACCATTTGGAGATGCCTGAGGATATTACCAGGCCTTATTTGAGGCAGTAAAACACCCTGTTCGGCCCCTCGGCACTGAAGATGTGTTTCAGTGCAGCTCTCCTCGGCACCGGATTCGTTGCTGCAACAGTGGGAGGGAAGAGCCAGATGCAAACTCGTTCTGCGAGCCCGAGGTTCTGTTCTCATGATCCTTGCTGTGATTTCTCTTTTGATGTTGGCAATTTTAAAATGACATCAGTCTATCTGGACCTTTTTCCTAAGGCTCTTGCTCAGACCACTCAGTAGATAGCCGCCACCTGCCCAGTGAGGTGAATCAGGCCCATTAGGCCATTTGTCAGGGGAAGGAACAGAGGAGCAGCGGAGGGCCCCGCCGGCCAGTGCCACAGGGCAGCCTGCAAAGCAGGTAGACAGGTTTTCAGGCAGCTTTTGCTGCTTTGGGTCCCTCAGGGATTAATACACAAAAAGGGCCCCTTGGGTATTCAGTGGCAGATTTCTCTTGAGAGCAGATAAAGTCGCTAATAACAAATTGGATTTGTTCATTGGGGTGGACTTGGCCTTTCGTTCCACCTCTGTGTAGGATAAGTGTGTGGATAGTGCTCCCACTGTGCACATCACCATATGGCATTTGGGTGCAGCTGTCCCTAGCCAGACTGCAGAAAAGCTTGATCTGGGCCGGACGCGGTGGCTTATGCCTGTAATCCCAGCACTTTGGGAGGCCGAGGCAGGCGGATCACGAAGTCAAGAGATTGAGACCATCCTGGCCAACATGGTGAAACCCTGTCTCTACTAAAAATACAAAAATTAGCTGGGCGTGGTGGCATGCGCCTGTAGTTCCAGCTACTCAGGAGGCTGAGGCAGGAGAATCACTTAAACCCAGGAGGCAGAGGCTGCAGTGAGCGGAGATCGCGCCACTGCAGTTCAGCCTGGCAACGGAGTGAGACTCCGTCTCAAAAAAAAAAAAAAAAAAAAAAAGAGAAAGTAAAGAAAAGCTTGATCTGGCCACTTAGTACAGCCATCCCCCTTTACTGGCCCTTCCTCTTTGCTTATTTGGAAGGGGGAAGGTTTCCCACACCCCAAACCAAAGATTCTTTTGGAATTTGCTGCTGCTGGATTCAGCTGTCACCTTTCTGCTCTGAGTCTGCTTTCTCCCTGTGGATCCGGTGCCAGAGGATCTGCACGTCCTTTTGTGTCTACACCCTCCCCCGCTCCTTCGTTTTCAATATGTAGTAGTGGAGAGGAAGTGTAACATGATTTTAGGGCTCACATTTCAATTCCACTGCATTTTTATGGGACAAGCAGAGACCCAGCGCCTGGAGTTATTAGGTTAGTATCTAAAATGGGTTCAGTACTGTGAGTCTTATTGTTTAAAATGAATGAGATGGTCCCCTCCTACCTTCTTTTCTCCTCCCCTGGGATGAGTGGATTGAGGCAAGGCCCCCAGAGACTAGTTGAAGGAATCCTGGTGCTCTGATTAGTTTTGTTCCCCAGCTTAATTGTACAGCTTCCTTTCTCTCACCACTGATAGCCAAAGTAGCTCTGTGTCTCCCCCAACCTTCCCTTGCTTTAGGAACAAGATGATCACAATGCAGCCTTGTGAATCAATTTTCTGTCTGTGCTGATGAAAGTGTAATTCATTCTTAATCAAGCAGCCTTGCTGCTGCAGGCTCCGTGCCGGAATACATTTAGTTACCCTCCCATCACTTTGGGAAACGATCCCCCAAAAGGGCTTTTAGAGGAGAGCTGGAAGGAGAGTTGGCCGTGCGCCTCATGCTGTGGTTTTCCAGCAGGGGGCACTCAGGAACGATGCTGGCGGAGGCTTTGTAGCTGGAAGCCGTCTGCTGCTGGCAGGGCAGCAGGAGAATGTTTGTCACAGGTGCCTTCCAGGCTTGCTTTCTCCAGACCCTGGGGCCATTTCTCAGAAGTACCCTAATGGGCCACCCAAAATCCTCAGGTAGCAGTGAGGAGGAACAGTTGAAGATGCAGATTGCATGCCTGGGTTAGAGAGTGCCGGCTGGGTACCAGGTTCTTTTAGCCAGCCTCTTCTGTCTTTTTAAGTAGACAGATGTGTCTCCTGAATCTGAACTTGTTTAGATTGGGTGGATGTGTCTGTTTTTGTCACACCACACACAATTTGGGGAGCGTAAGGAGGCCCAGCTCTGCCAGAATGGAACTCTCCTAAGTTCTCCCCTGCCGTCTCACAGCCTGCTGGCTGTCACAAACAGCTGGCAGTTTTATGGACAAGTGGGCAGGGGAAAAGGGACCCTGCCGGGGCTGAGTCTCGATGTTGGGCAGGAAGTAAAAGCCAGGACCCAACAAGTGGATCAGAGGGGGGATGTGAAGATGAACAGTCAGATAGCAATAAAGCCTCATAGATCTGCCCCAGAGAAAGAAAAGGAAGTTCGTCTCCTCAGAATGGAATTGGATTAGTGACAGACTTGAGCAGCCGGTTCAGTCGAGAGAGAACTTAATTCCTCCTGTGTTATTCACACGGCTGATTCTAATCAGATGTGAAGAGACAGCTGGAGGAGAGCAGCGGGTCAGCCCATGCCTGGTGCGGAGGCTTCATGTTCTTGTAGGCATCTTCAGGGAACTGGCAGGAGCGCTTTGGGTTGGAGACTCTGAGCAGGGCCCTTGGGTTTATAGCCTGCCCAAGGAACTGGGCCTGGCTGCGGGACTCCCATGGTTGGACCTTGTCTAGATTCAGTGAAAGTTTTGAAGGACAGTGCATGACAGACGTCACTGGTCAGGTTCACCAGAGCTTGGCTCACTTGTCTTCAGAAGGATTCAAAGGCAGTTGACCAGACTTGGCAAGTCCCAGACTGGTGCAGCCACTGTCCTCGAGACCCTGGTTGTACACCCTGAGGTGCTTCTGCTTCATTACCTGCTGAAATTTGGAGACCTCTTCTTCCTGGATAACCTTCAAGATACTCATTGTGCATGCGAGGAATTCCCCGCCCTCCTGGGGGGACTCCACTCCCCAGGCAGGCAAGGTTGGGCAAGGGGAGGGCTGTTGCTGGATTGCCAAAGGGAGCATGGACATTTTTGTTTGGAATTCAGGGTGGGAATGGGACTCACCAGAGTGGCTTCAGTGCTCAACTCACAGTGCAACATAGGACAAGGTGAAGGCCTTCTTGGGAGGCCTCTTCTGGCTCTAGCAAGCAGGTGTTGCTGGGCAGTGTAGAGGGACCCAGGCCGGTTGCTGAGCAGGAAGATGTACCTAACACTGATGGGCCTGCACACCTTAGGGTATGAGAGCATCGCAGGGGAACCAGGAAACTTGTTAGCTGGTTTTCATGTGTTTAAAAAGAAGACTCGGAGGCAGAGTTTATTTTATGAAGGGCTAGCTTTTTGCCATTTCTTCTGAGCTTTTGCCTTTTCCTTTATGAATACTTCCTGCCTATGGGTGTACTGTAAATGTAACAGCCAGTGAGCTTTCTAGAAGCAGCAGATGGTGAAAGATCCACAGGTGAGGAGCCTGCCCACTGGAGGGGCGAGACAGTGCCCAGGCAGGGCGTGCAGGTGGCAGAGCTGTTTGCATGCTCCGCGGGGTGGCTTCCCAAGCTCTCTGTAGAAAAACTGCCTGAGGGCAAATGGCTCCACTGAGCTGCTACCTGCAGGAAAGAAGCTCAAGGGCTCTCCTCGTCTCACTGCCTGCCTTCTTCACCTGCTGGGAGGAGGGCATTGTGGTGTCTGAGATAAAGGATACCCCCAAGGTGGAAGCAGAGCCATGGGGGTGGCCTCCAGCAGCAGGGAGGAGCATTGTGCAGTAAATTCTGACTCCGGGGCTCCTGTGGGGATTGGAACCCATAGGAATTGCACAATGAGGGTAAAGGATGGGGCGGCAGCAGCCAGGTCTGTCTAAGGGGCGAGCAGCAGTGGCCGAAGGCTCCCAGGGCCCTCGGGCAGCAGCCCTTGCTGACCAGTGCAGCCAGGTCGTGGCTGCCTCCAGCTGGTGGGTCTGCCTTCCCCTCTGACCGCCTCAGTGCCTTCTGGAGGACTGTGGCTCTCTCTCCTGCCCAGTGGCTGTGGTGCCTTCCTACTTCTGTGTGGGCAGACTGATTTCCCTCTCTACCTTTACTTGTGGCTGAGGCGAAGCTCCTGCTCTTGCAAGATAAGAGGTGGGGCTGAGGCGCTGCAGTGCAGCTCAGGTGGGGCTCAGGAAGCACCCCACCCACCCCAGAGCACTCTGCATCCTAATAAGCACATGCTCGAGTCACTGGAATCTGGTGCTGCTGGCAGTGCCAGAACCCTCCCCTAGCACCTCGAGGGGACAGCCAGCATGCTCCTCGGGTGGAGGATCCAGGAATTCTTGGAGCCAACATTGCACAAATGGGCAGGAGCCTCTCAAGGCCCCCACAGCCTGGGCTCCCTGCCTGGGGAAGTGGCCAGGCTTCATAGGGGCATCACTTGGCCCGCCTGGTAGGCATGGAGGCCAGTGCCATACGTGACCTTGTTGTTGCCTGCACCCCTTCCTAACGAGCACCCTGCTCCCCACTGGAAGGAGAGGGGCCAGGGCTCCTCCCTCCCCAGGGAGGGGAGAAACGTGATGTTGCTATTAGCAATAACAGCTGCCGAGTTCCCACCATGCGCCAGGTGCAGTGTTGAGTGCATCACACGCGGTTCCCAATTCCTCTGCCTGTCACCCCACGAGGAAGGGGCTGCCATCACGCCCGCTTCACAGTGAGGAACTGAGGCTAGAGGGGAGCAAGTGACCTGCCCAGGGCCACACAGCTGGTCAGTGGCCCAGCTGGGCCTTGCACCAGGCAGCTGACTGTGCCTGTATCTGACTCAAAGTGGCTGTTCTTTTCAGAAACCTGAGCGGAGATACTGGGCTCACATGCTTTCATTTAAACCCTCTCTCATTTTTGCCCCAGTAGTTATCTGGCAGCTAAATCTCTTCCTCCTTTCTTCCCCAGTGACCATTCTGGTTCCCATCATCACAGGGCACATAACTCCTGGCCCTTCTCCTCTGATTACATTTAGGGAGAAGCCCATCCTGATGCAGCTCCCTTCTAGAGGGAGTTCCATTTAGGCAAAAAAGCGCTCTCCATTCCCATCAGAACCGGGCTTTCCAAAGGGCTCTGAAATTGGTTCCACTGAAGAAGGCAGCTGAGCTGCCTCCCCACATTCCGCTTGTTAGTCGGGAACTTCAAGGCCAAAAGATTTGGCAGGATTTAAAGAGTTGCTCTCAAGCTGTCTCATTCTGAGCACACTAATGCTGTCTGTCTTCTGATGGTGAAGTGGTGGGTTTGGAGTCTCCCTCCCCTGCCCTTTATGGAGCCGCCGATAGTACCGAGGACTCTTCACATGCAGACTCGAGGGGTCCAGAGAATGGGCCAGACCATCTTGCCTGCCCCATGGCAACCTCCAGAGGAAAGAGGCTCAGAGAGGTCAGGGGTGTCTGCAGTGAGCTGCTGATGGCAGAGAGTGAGCTCTCGGACCTTCTCAGCCGGGTGTGGAGCTCTTGCCTCTCCCGCGAACCTCAGTTTAGTTATCTTCATAGCCCACGTCCTGGTCGCTTAACAAACATTGAGCTCCTGATCGGCACATAACACTAAGCCAGATATTTGGGGGATATGAAGATGAATGGTACAGACTCCCTCCCCTCCACCCCCGCACTCCTGTGGGAAGTCCCGGAGCTGGAAATGGAACACAGTCACACCCAAGGCATTGATTTCAGGAGTCAGCAGAGAGCAGGGAGTAGGGAGAGTGCTGGCTCCAGATGCTTCTATCCAGGGAGATGCTGGGAAGTGGCCCAGAGTCAAGGGCTTAGGAGGTTGCAAACCTCACTATGCCAAGAGCTCGGTCCCTGATCCACCCCATCCCCTTCCACATCTCCCTGACTGTCCTTCTTTACATTTGCTGGGCAGAGTGCCACCTGTGTGCACCAGCCCTCCCTGCCTGCACAAGCCACACTGAGAAAGCCGTTGCCTCCAGCTCATGGAGAGAAACACCTTCTCAGCTGCCACGTCATGAGCAAGTTTGCTTCGGGACCACCTGGGAAACCAGGAGTAGAAGGGGTAAACTCTTCCTCATCTGCCACAGGCCTGCCTTGCCTCAGGCCACGTCACCTTACCCCAGCCATGTTGCCAGGGCATGAGGACTAAGATGCTTGCCCTGCCAAGCCCGGAGGGGATGAGCAGCCTCAGCTGGTGCCGCCACAGACAGCACACCACAGAGGTGGCTCAGGGACCTTGGTAGATGGGAATGTGAGAATCTATTAAAATAGGCAGGGATCTCCGGTCCTCTGTCAAGAGGCAATGCTGACGGCTTTTTCCTGCTGGCGTGCCTCTGCCCACCAGCCTTCCCCTTGCACATCCTCATTTGTCACCTCCTAATTTGAATTATTGGGCAAATCTGGCCGCTTATTTGGGACTGACAGCCAACTTCTTGAGCATCTATTTGAACAGCCTTCCCTTTCGCTCCCAGCCACCTTTGAGGTGAGTCCAAGTGGCAGGACAGGACCCTGTGTGACAGAGCGGAGGTCTTGTGCCCTCTCAGCTTCTTCTCTGCTTTCTTACAGCTCACCTTGCAGAGCGCCAAGTCCCGAGTGGCCTTCTTTGAAGAGCTCTAGCAGGTGACCCAGCCACCCCAGGACCTGCCACTTCTCCTGCTACCGGGACCGCGGGATGGACCAGATATCAAGAGAGCCATCCATAGGGAGCTGGCTGGGGGTTTCCGTGGGAGCTCCAGAACTTTCCCCAGCTGAGTGAAGAGCCCAGCCCCTCTTATGTGCAATTGCCTTGAACTACGACCCTGTAGAGATTTCTCTCATGGCGTTCTAGTTCTCTGACCTGAGTCTTTGTTTTAAGAAGTATTTGTCTTCCTTTGTCTAATGTGGGATTCCTGACTCCCTTCGTCCAAGGCACCGGTGTGTGTGTGTCTTGCACTCCAGAGCTGACCTCCACCGCCCAGCCTGGGAAGTCATTGTAGGGAGTGAGACACTGAAGCCCTGAGAAGCCAGTGCCATCATCCCCACCCCGCCCAGGGTTCCGGAACATTCATTCCCCCACCGGTGAGGACCTGGCATGCAGCGAAGCAGCCCAGCCCGGCGGATCCCAGGCCAGCACGCCTGCCGGCTTCTCATCGTCAGGGAGCCCGCCCAGAGCTCGTGACGAGCAAGTGCTGGGTCCCCGCCAGGCACCCCGAGGCGGCGCTCTGGCTGGCAGCTGGTGGGGAATAGGCAGGGCAGCTGTGGCTGGGGAGAGACTTTAGGCAGAAGCTGTGATGCAGGCTGACTGCCAGCCGAGGGGCTGGGTAGTGCCGTGCGGGAGCTGATGGTACAGGGCACTCGCTGTCCCCCTCCGGCCACCCTAGACCAGGGTCCGAGAGGCAGGCAGGAGCCACTCATGTCTTCCCCATTGCCCGACGCCCATAGACGCTCCTTCCTGTGTGGGGCTGGGGTACTCCCTGGTCGTACTGCAGTCAGCACCCGTAACCCGGCTATGACCAGGGATCTGTAAGCCCTGTGGCTCCACAGGTGCTGCTTCTCACTGGCCCAGACTCTGAGCTCCACCGGCCCAGTCTGCACGGCCCATCTGCTTCACCTTCCCTCCCAGCCACGTGCCAGTGGCCACAGCCCACTTCCCAACCCACTGTTGTACCCAGGCCTCACTTTGCTGTTGCCCTTGTCCCTCTTCGGGCCCTGAATTTTCTGTTCCCTGGGGGCCAGCCAGGGCCCTTTGTGCCCCTCCCAGCACAGGCCTGATGCAGGTGTCCACTCACAGGTGGCGCTCACCTAGGCTGTCACAGGACCCACCTCCATGCCAGGCAACAGAGGGCCACAGAACCACCCCCACGGCTCACTCCTTGGTCTGGGGCCACCTTCTTGCCCTTTCTTTTTTTTTTTTTTTTTTTTTTTCCGAGATGGAGTCTCTCTCTGTCACCCAGGTGGGAGTGTGGTGGCACAATCTCGGCTCACTGCAACCTCCACCTCCTGAGTTCAAGCAATTCTCCTGCCTCAGCCTCCCAAGTAGCTGGGACTACAGGCATGCACCACCACACTTGGCCAATGTTCTGTATTTTTAATAGGGACGGGGTTTTGCCATGTTAGCTAGGCTGGTCTCAAACTCACACCTGGGATTACAGGCATGAGCCACTGCACCCAGCCCCTTCTTGCCCTTTCTTTTCTCCATGGCTGATGCTGCTGTGGCCAGCCAGGGCCCTTGAGATCCTTCCAGTTTGGCTGTTATGCAAAGCAGGTGATTTGTCTTAATCAGATAAAAGATAGAGGCTATGGGGGCCTCAAGATTTTTGGAGAGCAGAGGTGGTCTCTGGCAATTCCATCTGGTTTTGAGAAACTTAGCAGCTCACAGAGCACAGAGATCCTGCCTTCTTCCTACTATCAGGCTGACCTAATGGGGTTGGGCTGCTCGGCAACTGCTTGGGTCACCTTGCCCCAAGGAAACCAGCCCTGGGTGCCACCCAGCCACTTAGGGTCTACAGGGTGGGACTCCAGACCTAGAGCGTAAGTATGGATGTTGTGGCCCTGTGTCTTCCTAGTGTGACCCAGCCAGGAGCGGAAGCTTCAGGCGTTTGTAAAGTGAGGTCTGGCTCTGCCTCCTCCGTTTTTTTTTTTTTTCTGTTTCTGTTTCTGTTTTTTTTTTGAGATGGAGTCTCGCTCTGTCGCCCAGGCTGGAGTGCAGTGTCACGATCTCAGCTCACTGCAACCTCCGCCTCCCAGGTACAAGAGATTCTCCTGCCTCAGCCTCCCGAGTAGCTGGGACTACAGGCGTGTGCCACCATGCCTGGCTAATTTTTGTATTTTTAGTAGAGATGGGGTTTCGCCATGTTAGCCAGACTGGTCTCGAACTCCTGACCTCAGGTGATCCTCCCACCCCGGCTTCCCAAAGTTCTGGGATTATAGGCGTGAGCCACCATGCCCGGTCTCTTCTCAGTCTTGAAGCCCATCCCTGGATTTCCACCAGGAGTTACTTTCCTCCTGACCTGTAAATTTGTTCTTTAACAATGGCTGCAGGTGGGAGCATATGGTGGTTTATAAAAACGCTGTCGGGCTTTGTTTCCTTCTTTAGCTGCCGTGTCTACTTCTGAAGTCTGGGAAGTGCCAAGCCACGCGGCCTCAAGGGAGCTGGCTGGTGTTTGAGCTGTGGCAGAAGCACCTGGGGCTCCAGGGAGCAGGCTGGGAACTGCAGGACCTTGCTCAGCCAGGAGCACTTCCCCCTCCTTGAGGCAGGAATACTGAGGTGCCTCCCCACAGATGGAGAAGGTGGAGAGGAGGATGGGCCTCAGGAGCATCTCAAGCCCCAGTAGCAGGAGAAAGAAAGAAAGAGATGCCTGGTTTTCACAGACTGGTTCCTGTGGCTGGGATGACTGCATCCTTTTTTTTTTTTTTTTGAGACGGAGTTTTTGCCTTTGTCGCCCAGGCTGGAGTGCAATGGCGTGATCTCGGCTCACCGCAACCTCCGCCTCCCGGATTCAAGCAATTCTCCTGCCTCAGCCTCCCGAGTAGCTGGGATTACAGGCACGCACCTCCACGTCCGGCTAATTTTGTATTTTTAGTGGAGACGGGGTTTCTCCATGTCGGTCAGGCTGGTCTCGAACTCCCGACCTCAGGTGATCTGCCCACCTCGGCCTCCCAAAGTGCTGGGATTACAGGCATGAGCCACCGCGCTTGGCCAGACTGCGTCCTTTTTAAGCGAACATTTTAGGGCCTGGGAGTTTGTCAAGTAAGGAAGTCTCAAGCCCAAAGAGCAGCGTCCTGACCATGGTGGTTTCATTACGAGCCCTTCTGCTGGCTCTCAGGCAGAAGCCCCACAGCACCGGGACCATTCATGAGGTCACTGCCCAGCTCATGATGTCCGTGAGGCTGTCCTTTTGGCCAGTAGCCGTGTGCAGCTGTGTGGCACAGATGGCTTCGTTCATCCTGATCAAGGCCCCACCTCAGCCACAGCAGTCCCCCCAACCTGTGTTGTCCACCCTATTATTCATGTACCTGCCAGGCCCTGCTAGATAGCACCCCGTGGCATTACATAACACTTCATGAGTGGCTGTGTCTTGTAATTTTGGGGACAGGTTTCTCTCTTTCCCTCTCTTTTTTTTGTCAAAAGCCCAGAGACTGACAACCAGCTGCAGTGTCTAAGTGTTCCTCACTGACAGGGTGGGGCCTCACCACCCCTGGAGGGAGCAGCGTTGGCAGGGAGACAGCCTGGCCCAGTGACCCTGGGCCCAAGCCAGCCCCTCCAGGGCTTTCAGGGAAGCGCCATCCATTTTCAAAGATGTCAAACGTCACTTCTTCCTGTAGGGCCCGAGTCCTGCCTCCTATCAGGGCCAGATCATAGAAGGCTATTTTCTATTCTGGGGAACGATTATAACTTAAATGATTGTTTTAATAAAAATTCTAAGCTGGAAAATACTTGCCTTGGGCTTCCTCAGTTTGCCTGTTGCTCAGGCCATTGAGGCGTCAAGAACACGGCTGGGTGGTGGGGCTGTCTTGTGGTTCTGTGGAGAAACGAGCCCTCTGCTGTCTCTCACTGCTTGGGCCTTCACCTCTGGCCCCTTGTCTTTGGTGGCAAAAGAATCACCTCCTTCCACAGACCTCTAATGACACCTTCGCCAGGGAACTGCCTCCCTCTTCCTGGGGCACTTGGGGGGTGGCAAGGGCCCTGCATGGCGTCCCAGCACTCCATTTCCTCTCTGTGGTCCCTGCCCATCCGTGATTTCAGACCAGAGAACTAGGGAGCTGGGCTGGGTGATCCTTCCAGACATTTCTGTTTTCGGCGTTCCAGGCTCTGGGGGTGCATGCAGAGCCCCTGGGGCCCAGGCGCTGTCTGCAGAGTAAATGAGGCGCAGCCACTGTCAGGGCTATGTGACATTTGCACTTGAAGTTGGAAATCACCACTGCAGAGCTTATAGTTTGGGTTTTGCTTCTGTTTTCTTAAGCAACAAAAGTCCTTTATTAAGACCAAAACTTCTATAGGATAACTCTGTCCCGAAGCACTGCAGCCCCAGTTGGAGAGTCAGACAGCACAGTGTGGCTGCCGGGACTTCTAAGGGACCCACTCGACACACTTGTCAGGACATACTTCAGGTTTCCATTGCACAAGCCAGTGAGGAAAACAGCCTATCAAAATACACAACGTCTTTCCAAAATGTTTTGAGTTATACATAACTTGTGTTTGTTTTTTTTTTTAGAAAGATGTTTGAAGTGGATAAACTAAAGAATATGAAAAGTTTTTTCTTTTTTCTTTTTTTTTTGAGACAGAGTCTCACTGTGTCACCCAGGCTGGAGTGCAGTGGCCTGATCTCAGGTCACTGCAACCTCTGCCTCCCCGGTTCAAGTGATTCTGCTGCCTCAGCGTCCTGAGTAGCTGGGATTACAGGCACCTGCCACCATGCCAAGCTAATTTTTTTGTATTTTTAGTAGAGACGGGGTTTCACCATGTTGGCCAGGCTGGTCTCGAACTCCTGACCTCAAGCAATCTGCCCGCCTCGGCCTCCCAAAGTGCTGGGATTACAGGCGTGAGCCACCGTGTCCGGCAAGAATATGAAAAGTTTTAACAATTTGTTGTTAGCTTTGAATATATAGAATTGGTCAACCTGGGCCACATAGAGAGACCCCGTGTCTACAAAAAAATTTAAAAATTAGCCAGGTGTGGCTGCACCTATAGGCCCAGCTTTTTGGGAGGCTGAGGTGGGAAGATCACTTAAACCTGGGAGTGTGAGGCTGTAGTGAGTCAAGATCATGCCACTACCCTCCAGCCTGGGTAACAGCGAGACTGTCTCAAAAAAAAAAAAAAGTGACAGAGTGAGACCATCTCAAAAAAAAAAGGTAACTAATTAGACTTTTTATTAGATGAATAATATAAACTCATTTTGCAAATGTAGATTGTTATTTTTAGTAATTGGAAGCAGTTTGATTTCCTCCGTAGTCTAAGCCAAAGAAAGCACTTTGAAAAATATTGGTCATTTAAAGCCGTCCAGGCAATATTTTTACCTAACCTTTCTATTAAAGACAACCCGACGCCCCCCCACCCCCACCAAAATAGTAAATGGGACCTGAGGTCAGAGGTCCCCGCTAAGTAGAGTTAGAATTAC
Source organism: Homo sapiens (assembly GCF_000001405.40). Taxonomy (NCBI): domain Eukaryota; kingdom Metazoa; phylum Chordata; class Mammalia; order Primates; family Hominidae; genus Homo; species Homo sapiens. The sequence goes on from NC_000022.11 coordinate 29,700,283, forward strand.
TAATACCAGAGTTCCAATGACTGATTCTAATGGTATTTTGGTATCGAGGAGATCAGTTGAATTCTTTGCTGTTTTTTCTAGTCTGTAGTGACCCTGCTGTAAATGCAAAGCGGGGGGGCCAGACCTCAGTGCTTCACTGTGGCATTTGCCGCCAGTCCCATCGGAGCCCCAAGTGGCTCATTCTGGCCTCCCTGCTAGCACTTCATTCTTTGCCTTTGGTCCTCGCCTGAGTGGGGAGTTCCTGACAGCTGTTCCCCAGGGCTGCCTACCCCAGAAGCCTTCGTGTGGCAGAGAGGATAAGGAGCCACCCACATATAATGAAGAGTTGGCAGTGAAACTCTGGGGGGAAAGGTATTGGCGAGAAGACTGCTGTGACTGTATCTAGTCCAATTTCTTAGCCGTCTGGGGAAGAGAAAGTCGGGCACCCGCATGTTCTCCGTCTCCCTTTCAGACAGCCCAGGCAGCGTCATCTCCAGCAGAGAGAGGGAGGCCAAGGGCTCCTCTCCCCCTCCCCTGCCAGGCCGTGTGGGGCTCCCTGGCAGCCTGTCATTACTGCATTATGGCAGGATCCTAGCCACAGCCCCAGCTCCGGTAGGGAGACCGCAGCTCGCTTCCAGAGAGATGGCTCTGGACCTCTGCGCCGTGATGGGAGCACCTGGGGAAAATTACAGGGCCGTTAATCTGCCCAGCAAGGACTCGAGCTGACTCGGAGAGGAACCCCCGCCGTGTCCTCTCCTGGTTTCCACTTGATGCCCATTTCTCACCAACTTGGCCCCAGAATAGCACCTGGCATTTTGCCTCTGAGCTGAAATCAAGACTTCTCTTGAAGGGCTCCGCAGTGGGAGCAGCCAGAGGCATCTCGCCCCTCCCCTAAGCCACACTTGCCCAGGGCAGAGAGGTGGAGGGCACCTGGCTCTTCCTTCCCCACAAGGGCCAGACCTTCCACCCCCTGTGAAGACAGTTGACAGTGAGGCCTCTGGGTACCCGGGGGATGTTGTCAGGATAACGTGAAAAACAGGAACAAAATGCACTCAGGTTTCTAAGAAAAGGGGTGTGGACCTGTCGCAGTGTTACCGTAACTTACAAGTAATAGACGCAGCTGGCCTGAAGAAAGGTGAAATCTCTACCATTAGCTGCAGGGGGAGCTGGGGAAACGGCACAGCTGAGAGGCTAAGAGCCCTCCCTGCCTCAGAACACAGACAAACCTGCGTTCCTGCTAGGCCACTGACCAGCCATGTGAGCCTACGTAAATTGTCCAGTCTATTGGGCACTGCAGTTTTCTTCACCTGTAAAATGGGAATTTTATAGGGTTTTGTGGGGATTACGAATGCCCAGAAAGCTCTAAGCACCTTGCCTAGATGTGAGTCACCACTTGGTACACGGTGGCTTTTTTTCTGATACTTCTTTTGGGGGCAGAGGGCAAGAGGAAGCAAAGGAAAGAGCCATAGTGACTCAGGGGATGTCACAGCTCAGAGGGATCAGGCCCACTCACGGCTCCCCTGTGGCCTCCATCCCCTCCACCTGCACCCTGAGCTTAATGAGCCTGCAGCTGGTCTGTTTGTCCAAGCCCATGTTTGCCCAGTGCCAGCTGCAAAGCCCGGGAAATGATAGATAACTCCGGGCTGGAGCTGCCTGCGAAGGATGTTCTCATTTTGTCCCATTAATACTGGCTGCTCAGGTCAATAATTGACTGGAGGCTCAGGGTGGGAGAGAACCAGGTGGGCCACACTGTGCACATGAGCTCTTCCCTGAGCCTGTGAGTACCTGGGCTGTAAAAACCCAACTGCAGACGCCAGGGAGGCACGGGAGTGACCTAATTTTCTCTTATCAGGCATAAGGAAGAAGTCCCATGGAGCCTTGCCCATTTCTGATATAAATAATGTCATTCCCCATCTGCCTGCTCAGGGAGGAAGGGGCAGCCTTTGATCTGAAGGAATTAAGTCGGTAAACAAAGCAAAGAAGGCTGCTGAGGTGTCCCAGGCAGGCACCTGCTGTGCCATTTACCCTGAGAGAGAGAGAGAGGAGTTAAATTTGGAGGAGTGGAGTGGACCGACAGGGACAGCCCAGCCTCAGGCCGGCCCTCCCCGGATCTCTGAAGTCTCCCTTTATCCCCAGCTGAGCCAGGCAGCGCCTCCCCAGGAACCCTGGCACACCCCTGCTGTGGCAAGCTGCGCATGGTGTCTCCATCCTCCCCAGCAGGGGCCCTCCTTGGGCCCTGGGGATTTTCAGCAGAGGATAATTCCCAGGGAATATATCTGAGAAAGTCAAGTGCTCTGGGATGAGCAGATTAGCCTGGAGCCCGGGGCTGGAGAGGAGCTCCACTCTGGGAGGACAGGGCCCTGTCTGTCCCAGCAGAAGGCAGCTCAATGGTCCAGCCTGCGCTTCAGGCCAGCTGGCTGTGGGCTCTGATCCCCTGCAGCTCTCCGCCTGTTGCTGTGTGGCCTTGAGTAAGTCCCTTCCACTCTCTGGGCTTCCATGCCTTGGCTATAGAAGGTCAGGTTTGGACCAGCAGAACTCGAGGCCCCCTTAGGTTCCAACTCCACAGACTGGTCCCCCGAGGTCCTCCAAGGCCATGTCAAGCCAGCTTCACCTTCCAAGGAGCCAAAATGGGAGTGACTGGCCCAGGATACCGCAGGAGTGGCTATGGCTACAGCCATGGCCGGGAGCCGGAGTGGAACCAGGTGCCCTGCAGGGACCCCAGCCTGGGGCCTGTGTTAGAGCTCCCACCACATCCCTCCTTTCTCTTGGACCCACTATCCTCTGGCACAAATTCGGGAGGGGCCACCATGCTGCCAGCCCCCGAGCTCAAGTGAAAGGCAGCAGGCGCCAGGGCGGGGATTGGCATGGCCACTCTGGGTTTTCCTCTTGAGCAACCAGGCCCAGCGCCTGTCAGCCCGGGTGGCAGAGGGGGGTGGCAGGAGCCGCAGCGTCGGCCGGGCCTGCTGTGACAGTTGCTCTGCCCCGAAACCCATGGGACCTCCCTTCTTTGCCCACGCCTTCATCCTTCCCCCTCCTCACTCGCCAGCCTTCCGCACCCAGCCCGAGTTCCTGAGTTCCTGAGGCTGAATCTATTAAGTCCTTCATATTAACCAGCAAAGGGGGAAACAACCCTCTTTCATCTTAACTGGAGTGAATTTGCATTAACACCTGGGGAGTTTTGTTTGCCTTGAGAAGGCGCATTGCTATTCTGAGCCGCACATGCTGTGGGGTTAGTGCAGTATCCTATTCTTTTATTAATACGGCTTTCCTCTCCTCCCTCCTCTTTTCCCATGGAAGGGGGAGAGCGGCTGGGGATGCCAGGGCTCCCCACATCACGTAGGAAGGGCCCCTGGAAATGCCAAGTTGGGAGAGCAGCTCCCAGCTGGGGCAGATTCTTCCCCTCAGAAGGTGGTGGGGGCAGCTCCCAGCCCCAGTCCAGAGTCCCCTCCCTGCTGTGTCCAGTGCATGCTGTGTGTAGGGTGGAGAACCCTGCAAGGCAGGGCTCAGGGAAACACCCCACCCTCAGGAGCTCCTCAGGGCAGGGAAGGTATGGGGAGGGGGACACCAGGGGGCCAAGAGCTGTGGATACTCAAGGATGACCTCCACTGGGCTCAGGGGCCCCGTGAGGTCTCTCCCCCAGCGTTACAGGGGAGCCTGACTTGGTGGCTGCTGTGTGTCTGCCCCAAGCGTGCTGCTTCTGACCCTCCGGTGACAGGACTGGTATTAGCCACCTTCGGTCCTGTCCAGGCTGGAGCACATGGATGCAATTTAGGATGCTCGAGAGTGCCTGGGAAATGCTGAGTCTAGGATGGGGGTGGGTTGGGCAAACCTTGGTTTTCAGGCCTCAGACCTGGAGATCAAGATCAAGGTTCTAGAAAGAGAGAAGTTTAAGGCAGGGGAGGGAACATGAAGAGTGAATGCCTCCCCAGGACCCCTCACCCCCGAACTCCTGACCACCCCGCCACCCTCCCCTCCCCTCCCCTCCCACCTCCTAACCACCTCGCCCCCCTCCCCTCCCCTCCCACCTCCTGACCACCCCGCCACCCTCCCCTCCCCTCCCCCCACCTCCTGACCACCCCGCCACCCTCCCCTCCCCTCCCCCACCACCTCCTGACCACCCCGCCACCCTCCCCTCCCCTCCCCCACCACCTCCTGACCACCCCACCACCCTCCCCTCAACCCCCACCTCCTGACCATCCCATGAGATGGCGAAGGGGAGAAAGGTGCAGGGCAGATGGGGGTGGGGAGCTGGGGCAGAGAAGGGGTCCCATGAGGACCGTGGGTGAACTGGGGATGGGGGTGTCCGGGCCCCCCAGTGCTGCTCAGAGTTAAGAACTTGGCCTCTCAGCCTCACATTCCCCTCCTGAACAACGGAGTGCATTCAGAATCCACCACAGGGTCGCTGTGGGGTTGAATGAGATCACAGGGACCGGTTCTGAGCCAGTGCCGGCTGCAGTGAGAGTTTATTAAACAAGGCCTGCCGCTGTGTGGTTATGGCTGTTTACTCTTAGCTTGTCCTGAGCCAGTTATCAAAGGAGACAGCTCAGGGTTGGGAGGGCAGTGGGCCAGGAGGGGTCCTCACATGGCTGCGCCTTGACTCCTGGGCCCTGGGCCCATCTCTAGACCACCCTAAACGGCCCCCCCAGTAAAGAAACGGGCAACCCTCCCAGCAACGGGCATCAGTCCATTGTATATTGACAGCAGGAGAGGGGCTGGTGGTTGCAGATGTCCCCAGGGGGGTGGCAGCTTCAGCTGGCCTGACACAGCCCCTCCTCAGGGATTGGTGGGAGAGTCTGGAGGCTCTGGAGACCCTGGACTGGTATCAGCATTTCATGGGCATCCCCAGCCCCTCTGGCAGCCTGCCAGCCCCCACTCACTACTGGACCCATGCCAGGTGCCACGGCTGCACTCTCCAGTGACATTTACCAGCTGGGAAGTGGCCACGGAGACTTGAAATCAATGTGGCCTGCAGCTAGCCCACTTCATTAGAGCCGGCTCAGCTCCACTGGGTAGGGCAGCACAGGCTAAGCGCAGCCCCCTCTCCAAGCCTCCCAGCTCCTCCTGGACCCACCTGCTTGGCTGATGGGCCCCGTCCCAACCCCAGCACTGATCCTGTGTGCGTGGGGTTGGGGCCACAATGTCTTCTGAATGCCTGCTCTGGCCAGGCCCTAGGGAGGATGAAAAGAACGCCAGCAGTGACCTGAGTGGGCCTCGGCACACTTGGTCTCTCCCTAATCCTCACAGCAGTACCCAGAGGAGGCCGCGACCATTAGGCACACTAGGGCCCAGTGAATGCCAGCAGCTCCCACTTAGGCCTTACCTGGAGTCATCACCAGAGACCCCCATGAGAGCCCCATAGAGTTACCATTATCCCCATGTAAGACAGAGGAGGAAACTGAGGCTCAGGGAGGCCAACTGACTTCTCGGAGCTGGGACTTGAACCTTGTCCTCCTCATGGGCCTGGCTCATTCAGCAACTCAACCTCAGAGAAGAATCCCCCCAGCCCCACCCCGCTCAGAGTGGGTGGGACAGGAGACCCTCCCCTCACATTTCCTGGGTGCAGCCCACGACCCTCTGAGGGGGCTCAGCAGTGGGAGGCCCAGCGGGGCTCGGTATGGGCTAAGCAGTGGTGGTCCCGGTCTTGGCCTTCCCCTCCTCATGGCAGGGGAGGAACCTGGGATGTGGGACTGGGCTCGGTGCTCCCTGGTGAGGAGGAAAGAACCCAAGTCTGGGGAGCAGATGCTGCTCTGCCTCCTCCAGCTGGGGGCCCCAAGCAAGACACTTCACCTCTTTGTGCTCCAGTTTGCTCAGCTAGAAAACGGGGTCACTGATGTCTGCCTTGGATGAGTAAGTAAGATGATGTACTTACAGTGCTTGCACAGCGCCTGGCACAGAGTGAGGACCCAGAATGCCAGGGAGCTCGAGCCACCAGAAGGGATGATGTCCCATAACATTTGCGTTTATCTGGCAGGCCTATGCAGATGCAAAACTCAGACTGAGCCACATGTAACCTCCAGAGTGCCCGGGGTGAGCTGGTGGCCCAAGCCTACTTGTCTGGCCCCCATCCCCAGCACCATGCCCAGCACAGCACCTGGCACGTAGTAGGTGCCCAGGACATATCTACTCAGTGAATAAATGAGTGTCTGTTTACCCATCTCGAGCATCTCAGTGCCTGAGAAACTCATCCCACTCCCAGGCTGCTGTGCAATTCAGGTGAAATGATGGCTTGGAAAGGGCTTGTTTTTATAATTAAAATGCAGAGAAGGAGGAAGAGGGAGGCGGTGACTTCCCAGCAAATGGGTGTGGGGGCTGGGAGAGGGTACGGGGCCTGATGTCCCCCTGGCCAGCTGGTTGGGCCAGCTGAGCTGTAATCACCACGGGCCCAATCATCAATCAGCCACCCACTCCCCACGCCTCTCTGGCCAGGAGGAGCATCCGTCAAAGTCTCCTTCCCCATGACGGCCCAGACAATCAGGCAGTCCCGCCTGAATCCACCGCTTGAAGCCTCCGCCTCCTCCTCCTGTCAGTCCAAGAGGCAGGGGCCAGGCAGGGTCACACCCCCAAGCCAGGCCAGCCTGTCCTGAGCCCTGTCTGCATGCCAGGCACAATGCCCACCTCTGCACATCCTCCTCTCCCTTGGCGGGGGGCACTGCTGCATCCCCAGTCTTTACAGATGAGGATGTGGTCTCCCGAGACTCACTCGGGTCACACAAGTGAGTCCCACAAGAGCTATCACTCTGAGCCCCCACTTTTAACCTCTGCAGCCCTTCTCCAGGCCTCAGTTTCCCTTGTGCACCAGCGAGCAGCAGTTTTCTAAAGGTTCCACCCCGAGGAGCCGGCTGGCCCCCAGCCAGCATCGCAGGGACAGCATGATGGATGAGGATCCCGCGGGGGGCAGGTGCGACACGCACACACACCCGCCGACCGACCGTTGGGTGATGGATCTTTTCCTCCTCTCCCCCTCCCCAGGAGCTCGGCTCCATCTGGTCAGGCGCAGTGCCAGGCTGATGGATGGGCCACTCACTGGGCCACCCTCGCCGAGGCTGCCTCCTGCACTCTGGATACTGCACACCAGGGTCAGCAGGGTAGGTCTGCGGATGCTCATTCAGTCATTCAACAAACACGTATTCACCAGGGCCTACTATGTGCTAGAATGAAGCAGTGAGCAAAACAGACTAGGAAACCAGCCATCACCCTCCATGTGACAAATATGGTCACAGGGCAAGCAGAGGGTGACTGTGCAAGCCAGAGGAAGCCTCTGAGCTGACTCGAGGGACCAGGGCAAGGAGTCTTCACAGGACAAAGCGAGCAGCTTCTAAAAAGGCCTCCATGTGAGAAAGGGCAAGGCATGTCTACACAATAGTGACAAGTTCAGGATGGTGGGGTTGGGACGGGGGCAAGGGCCAGGGCAGGCTGAGAGGTGAAGCAAGGCCAGTTTGGGCTCACCCCAGGGCAGGAGGGTGCTGGGCCAGGTTGGCATTTCCAAAAGACCCTGCTGCTGCCAGGGAAGGAGGCATGCTGAAGGTCTGCTGAAATTCAGGAGCAGGCAAGGCGTGGTGCTGTGCACCTGTAATCCCAGCACTTTGGGAGGCTGAGACAGGAGGATCGCTTGAGCCCAGGAGTTTGAGTCTGCAGTGAGCCATGATCACCCCACTACACTCCAGGCTGGGTGACAGAGCAAGACCCTGTGTCAAAAAAAGAAAAGAAGGCAGGGCACAGTGGCTCATGCCTGTAATCCCAACAATTTGGGAGGCCAAGGCGAGCAGATGACTTGAAGTCAGGAGTTCGAGACCATCCTGGCTCGAACATGGTGAAACCTTCATTTCTATGAAAAATACAAAAACGGCCAGGCATGGTGGCTCACGCCTGTAATCCCAACACTTTGGGAAGCCAGGGTAGGCAGGAGCTCGAGACCAGCCTGACCAACACAGTGAAACCCCATCTACTAAAAATACAAAAATTAGTTGGGCATGGTGGCATGTGCCTGTAGTCCCAGCTACTCAGGAGGCTGAGGTAGGAGAATCGCTTGAACCCGGGAGGCGGAGGTTGCAGTGAGCTGAGATTGCGCCATTGCACTCCAGCCTGGGCAAAAGAGCGAGACTCCATTTCAACAAAACAAAAATTAGCCGGGTGTGGTAGCACGCGCCTGTAATCCCAGCTACTTGGGAGGCTGAGACAGGAGACTCGCTTGAATCCGGGAGGCAGAGGTTGCAGTGAGCCAAGATTGTGCTATTGCACTCCAGCCTGGGCGACAGAGCAAGACTGTCTCAAAAGTAGAAAAAAAAGAAAGAAAGAAATGAAAAGAAAAATGCAGAAGCAGATCAGCCCTGGTGCAGGGGATACTGGAAGAGCCAGCGAAGAGCAGGGATGTGAAATCCTGGAACCAACGGCGGTCAGTACCAGAAGCCAGGGGTGGTCGCATTTGCCCCATTTTAAAGATGAGAAACTGAGGCTCGGAGTTGGGGAAGGATTCACCCAAAAGGTCATGCGGGGCAGAGAAACAGAGCTGGGCAGGAGGCAATGCTCGGTGAGAGCTCTCGGCCCGTTGGACCTCCATGTCCAGGCGCCCTCCCCCTCTGCCTGTAGAGGCTCAGCAGCCTGAGGACACCCCCACCAGCACCAGCAACTCCTCATTCAGGGAGGCAGCTGTCCCCTTCGCGCCGCCATGGACAGGAGCCAGGCAAGAAATATCACATCATTAAAATGACAAATCCCTTCACTAACTGAACCAGAAGGCCTGCCTCCCCACCTTGGATCCCCTCTAGCTCATCTCCCCTCCCAGGCTGGCAGGTGGGCAGGGGAGCCTGTGCGGGGTATGGCCTGTTGTGGTCAGGACCATCGCCTTGCTCCTGAGATGACCTTGGTCCCCAGACTTCTGCTTCACGGCATGGCTTTGGTGTCTGGGATCCCATCAGCACTTCCCAGCAGGAGCCCGGGAGAAGTAGGGGCTCCATTCTACAGGTGGGGAAACTGAGGCTTGGAGAGGCGACCCTCCAGGTAGGACACCCCTCTGCAAAGCTCCTGGCCACTGGGCCTGAGCAGAGACCCTGCCATCCCTGCCATTCCACAGCCCATGTCCTGCCCCTGCTCAGAACAAGAACAAAGCATGACCCACGCCTCAGGATATTTTCCCAGCCCATAACCAGCTGCAGAGCCTGTCTTCAGGGTCAATCCTGCCCCCTACCAGGGTGGGACATGTTTTTGTCTGAGCCCCACCTTGTCAGGAGGCCAGGGCAGGCATCATTCTCCTGAATTGACCGGGCAGGAACCTGGCTGCCTTGGGCAGGCTGCTGCCCTCAGTTTCCCCATCTGGCAATGGGAAGCTGCCCCTGTTCTTTTTTTTTTTGCTTTGAGACAGAGTTTCGCTCTTGTTGCCCAGGCTGGAGTGCAATGGCTCGATCTTGGCTCACCGAAACCTCCGCCTCCCAGGTTCAAGCGATTCTCCTGCCTCAGTCTCCTGAGTAGCTGGGATTACAGGCATGTGCCACCACGCCCGGCTAATTTTTGTATTTTTAGTAGACGGGATTTCTCCATGTTGGTCAGGCTGGTCTCAAACTCCCGACCTCAGGTGATCTGCCTGCCTCGGCCTCCCAAAGTGCTGGGATTACAGGCGTGAGCCACTACGCCTGGCCAGCCCCTGTTCCTTTTGACTGAGGCTGAGCTTGCACAGGGCCTAATGGATGTGGAGTGAGCACCTGTAACACGTGCATGTACACCGCACATTAGATGCCTGTGATGTGTGCACACTTGCCACATGTATGTTTCCACCTGCATCTGCCCTGGCCCCGGGTCCTCAGAGTGTCAGACCCCTGTGTGTGCACATCCACCCTGGCACCCAGACACCCAGCCACAGATGCACACATCTGCACCAACAGCCCACATCCACCCAGACCTGTTCGTGCACATCAGTGTCACATGCCCACAGACACTGAGAGCCCACATGGGGTCCCTGTTCCTCTGGGGAGCAGGGCAGGTGAGCAGATGGCAGGAGATGTCACCTGGCCCCGCTGGCAGCCCTGGTTCCCAGAATGACCCCTCTCTCTGCTCCCTCATCCTTCCTCCGGGCCCAGCTGGCAAGGACACACCGTCCGTCCGCCCAGTGTCCTGGTCTCCTTGGACGCAGACAGAGCCCACGGAAGCGTCTGGCGCATCCTGACTTGGCCGCAGCAGCTGCACCAGCACCCCCAGCCCTCTTCCCTGTGCCCAGCGCTGTCCTGCCTGTCCTTCCCCACCTGCTGGGTGGCCGAAGCAGCCGCCACACGCTACCATGTCCCCATGGTGGGGAGGGGGCTTCCTGCAGCAGCTACCACGAGGGGCCTCTCCAGCCCTCCCGCCTGACCTTGGATAGGTCCTTCCTCTCTCAAGGCCTCAGTTTTCCCATCTGGAAAATCGGAGGGAGGCTAAACTGACTTTCCAAGGTCCTTTCCACGTCTGGCTGTGGGATTCTCCCAAAGACCGGGAAAGGAAGGTGAGGCCAGGGCTCTGGTGGGGAGATTCAGGAGGAGGAAGCGGGGATTTAGGGACAGGCCTGCAGCGCTGGGTTCAGGGCTCTGCTTCAAGTGCATTCTCTCAGTTCGTACCCCCCACTGCCTCCCAATGGGGCTTCAACGCCATTTTACAGATGAGGAAACTGAGGCCTGGAGAGATACTACGCAGGGCAAGAACCCCCCACCTCCAGCTCCCTGCACTCCCTACGCCAAGGGCCAGAGCATGGGAGCCATGCCCAAAACATCCCGCACTTGCTGTCCTGCCCTCGGTCAGGGAGGTGGCATTCCGGGAATGGCTGTCTCCAGAGCCAGGCCTCTCCCCACCCCCTGCTCAAGGCTCCTGGCTCTGAGCCCGCCCAGGCACTGCCCGTCCATCTGCTGTTGCTTCCTGGCAGGGCGAGCGGGCCATACATCACTTAGCCATGCCGAGGAGGCTGGGCCGGGCAGCTGGGCAGGGTATTTCTGGGCTCGGGTGCAACCCCCTCTGTGGGATGTCAGGCATGGACACCTGCCTGGGAACAGGGGTCTTCTTGGGGCCCCAACCTCACCCCCATCCCCCAGATGGCAGGAGCCTGAAGGAGGCAGCTGGAGGCCACAGGGTGACCTGGCTGAAGGGGAGTGGAGGTCAGACTGACAGCCAGGAAGGTCTGAGGTGGTGCGGCTCTGTGGCATTTGGCAGGAGGACAGAGATTTTTATCTCCCCAGCCCCTCCACTTCGCCATGCAACGTGCTGATGTAGGTCGCTGGGGTGCTGCCTCCTGACTGAGCTGCTGCCGGGGGGATGGGTGGGGGACAGGTGGGAGCTGGGGCAGCCGGAAGAAAAAGGTTCACAGCCAGGGGCGTCTCAGCCACCACTCCTGTCCCCAAACCCACAAACCTGCCCCCCACCTGGCCCTGCCTACCAGGGCCGCTCCTGCAGGCAGTCCCTAGCTCTTCATCCATCCCACAACTAAGTACGAGCATCCTCTGTGTACCCCAAAACCAGGGACGCAGCAGCGAGCAAAACCCAGCCCCAGGCAAGGAAGGAGTCTGCGGTGTCACTAGGAGAAGGGCAAGGTTTGTCTTTTACTTGTTTATTTTTAAAGCTAGGGTCTCCAGAGAAGACCCAGGGAGAAGGTGAATTTTGAGTAAAGACTGGGCATGGTGGCTCCCATTCGGTAATCCCAGCACTTAGCGAGGTCAAGGCAGGAGGATCGCTTGAGCCAGAAGTTGGAGACCAGTCTGAGCAACATAGCGAGACTCTGTCTCTACAAAAAAATTTTTTAAAATTAGCCGGGTGTGGTGGCACATGCCTGTAGTCCCAGCTACTCGGTAGGCTGAGGCCCAGGAGGTGGAGACTGCAGTGAGCTATGATTGTGTCACTGCACCCAGCCTGGGTGACAGAGTGAGACCCTGTCTCTAAAAAAAGAGAAAAAAAGAAAAAAGAGAAGAAGAAAGAAAGAGAGAGAGAGAAAGAGAAAGAAAGCAAGAAAGCAAGAAGAAAGAAAAGAAAGAAAGAAAGAAAGAAAGAGAAGGGAAAGAAGGAAGGAAGGAAGGAAGGACCTGAAAAAGTGATTGTATTTGGGAGGAGAGCATTCCTGGCAGAGCACACAGCAAGTGCAAGGGCCCTGGGGTGGGAGTGCGCCTGCCAGGCGAGGCCAGCAGAGCAGGTGAGCTGGGGGAGGAAATGAGAGTAGAGAGGGGAGGAGGGAGACACTGTGGGTCCTGGGGCAACTTTGCTGACTTCAGCTCTTCCTTGGAATAGGGTGGGAGCCACTGGAGGACTGGGAAGGGACCGTGCTGTTTGGGGGAGTGATTGGTGGTAGCTTAAGGGCCCAAAGGGAGATGTTGGAGGGTCAGTGGGAGGGTCCTAGAGGACCAGGGGCCGAGCATGTGACAGAGGCCCTCTGCCATCTGTCTGTCCTCCTCCTCTCCCTTCCGCCCCTTTTTTTGCTTCCTCTCACTCCTTCATCCAGCAGGTATTTGCCGAGTGCAGGAACAGGTCTAGCCTTTTATGAACTCAATCCAAGGGATGCTCCGCCCTCCCCACCCCCTAGGAAGGCACCTCCAATGTCCACCCTGCAGCCTGGGGTGGAGGCCAGGCCACCTCAGCCGCTCTCCACACTCTAGATGGTCAGCCCAGGTGCTGCCTCCTGTGGGTGTAGAATGAACACCCGTGTACTGGTGTACGGGGCTGTCACACACACATCTAGGACCAGCGTGGAGCACACAGGATGTCCCCTTCCCTCCTGGGCCTCAGTTTCCTCGTCTGAGAAATGATTGGAGGACAGGACCTAAGAGCCTGTCCTATTCTAAAATGAAGACACACTGTGGTCACCCAGTGCCCTGGGGGCCACCAGTGCCAGGGGACAGGGCTATGGTTCTGCCTGTGTGGGCTTGGGCACTGGTGAGGCTGTGGCCATGGGCCAGGCTGCACAGAGCCCTGTGAGCCCCAGAAAGCCCAGGGGACAGGTGTGTGAGGACACAGGGAAGGACTAGGCTGGGGGAGCCCCTCCACCCTGGCCTGTGAGGACCTGGGGAGTGACCATCATTGTCCCTGTGTGAAATGCTCTCATAGCCCTCTTCCTCCTGACCTGATGGGACCCTGAGTCTAGGAGGAGTGGTGTGTAGACCCCTGGCCAAGCCTCCCTCACCCAGCTGCCCCAGGAGTAGCAGGAGAGCAGGAGGTCTTAGCAATGACCCAGCTGTAGCTCGGGAAGGGGCCCCGCCCCTCTTCCCTGCCCCTGGCCCCACATAGCCCCCTAGCTCACCCGGACCCCTGCAGCTCCTCTAATTACACAGCCATAAAGCACAAATCTCTAACGATCCAATTAGTAACGCTGTTACTGCTCTGTCCAGGACTAAAATCACCAATTAAACTGCTGTCGATTTTTCATCACTTAGACTCGGCACAGATGGGGCACTGCAGGCCTCAAGGCCCATCCTCGGACCCTTGGGTGGGGGGCCAGCCAGGGGTGTGGGCCTAGCTTAGCCCTGGAGGAAGTCCCTCCATCCACCGGGGCCCTCGTACCCCACTCCAGCCCAGTCCCCAACATCAGGGACTCCACAGAATTAGAGCCCAGTTCCCTGTAGATCTGCTGGTGGCAGGGGGCGCAGGGGCTCCCCAAGCCCAGCCTCTCCCTGGCAATGCCTCCAGTCTGGGCCTCCCTCATGTTCCCTGGGGACAAAACTCATCTATTCCATGTTCTAGACTTTCAGTGTCGGGCTACTCTCAGCAGCTGAGCCCTGGGACAAGGGACGGGGGTGGTCATCTGAAGGTCTGGCCCCCACTTCCCCTGCTCTCCTTCCCCTGCTCCTCTCGCTGCCACAGGCTCAGGGTGCCAACCTCACAGGGTGTCCCCCACTGTGGAGAGAGGTTCCACTCTGATGCGGTATCACAGGTTAGTATTGTCCCTCTCCCAGTTGATGAGCAGGTGCCCCTGTAGGGGCCCCCAGTGTTTTGTCTCAAAACAGGAAAGATATTTGAGCACAAAGCCTGAGCCCAGGGACTTGATGAATACTAGCCATTTCCTTCAGAGGGGTGAGCTCCCTGTCTCTGGAGGTGTGCAGAGGCTGCACCCAGGCCACATGTGGCAGGCAAAGACAGCAGGTCACGCATAGGGAAGGGGCAGGGTTGGGCTGGATAACTGAAGCCAGATCAATCATTTGGTCCTCTTGGGAAAGAATTCCAGACGTTCAGTCTCCTGCTCTCCATCTCTGCCCTAGAAGTGCTTCCACAAAGAGAGAGGGACAGGGGCAGGGCAGGGCAGGGCAGGGCAGCAGGAAGGGTTCAGTCAGCTGGAGATGGGGAGGCGGCCATAGCGTGAACGCTCAGCCCCAGGCAGGTGTGCTAAAGGCTCCTGGTCCATGACATCGCCAGCCGACGCCGGAATATTTGTGCTGTCCTGGGCCCTGGGCTCAGCGTCTCTCGTCTCTTAATCATCCTGAGAAACAGGTGCCCTTATTCCCAGGTGAGGCACCAAAACTCAGAGGTCCAGTGATATTCCCAGGGGTTTGATGAACCCCTTAATGAAGCCATGCTTGTGCCCCCTGGGGGGCAGGGTGTGCCGGGCAAGGCCACAAAGCTGACCTGGCAGCACCTGGATATTTTAATGACCCCATTGTCCAGAGGAGGAAATCAAAGTGGAGACGGTGTAAGCACCAAGTTCAAGGTCATCCTGGGACTGTTGATCACAGCCCTACCTGAGCCGCGGGTCCTGCTGGGAGAGAAGGAGGAGGGGAGGTACCTGTGGTGGGAAGTGGGTATTCAGGGAGGGCAGAATCTATGGCCTCTGCTCCTTGCTGAGGAACAATATTGTCCCAAGAACCTGCTGGGGACAGTGTCTGGAGGTGAAATAAATATTCATTTACCCACAAACTCCTAAAGTCTGTCTATTTCAACACCTGCGCAGCTCCTGGTTGAAGTGGAAGCTTATGCACAAGCCCTTTATGTGACACAGAGAGATGCAGAGAGGAGGGGGACAGGCCCTGGGGGACTGCAGGGTCCCAGCCTCGCCCTGCTCCAGGACCTGGCAAGGAGAGGTGACTTTCCTCCACCTATCACCCTAGGCTAATGCCCGGGCAGATGGGAGCTGGGCCTCTTCTCAGGGAGCAGCCGCCTCAGGCAAGTTGGTTGAGCGTCTCATCAGAGGCAACAGACTGAGGCAGGGATCTGGGAGCCCAGAGCAATTAGGAGCTGCCTCGCGCCTCGTCTCCCGCCAGCTGCCGCAGCTGTCACTCAGGAAGTGGTCTGGGAGCAAGGGCTAGGCCTGCAGTACCCATGGTCCCCCTCCCATCTGTGAAGGTTCTGATCCCTGGGGCAGCCTCCCAGCCAGCAGCCCCGCCAGGCCCCGGGCATAGGTGGAGGCCCAGAGGACGCCAGGGACAGGATCTCTGTGATTTCCTAACGGGGACATCCCCAGGCTCCTCTTACCCCTATCCAGACTCAGTTTCCCTCTGGAACATTGGTTCTAACCCTGGCTGCACCCTGGAAGCACGTAGAGGAGCTTTAGAAGAATACCTGCCCCACCCCCCAAGTTTCTGCTCCCAGCCCAGACCAACGGGAGCAGAACCTTTCGGGGGGATACAGGGCAGTGCACTTGAATGTGTGGCAGGGTGAGCCAGGATTTTGCAGTTATTGACATCATCCCTGCCCTGAGGGCTGGCAGCTTCTTTCCTCTGGGGACCATGTCTCCCCTCCCTTCCAGCTGGACCCAGTGCAGCCGGGGGATACTGTCCTGGCATGACCTTGAACTTGATGCTTACACCCTCTCCACTTTTATTTCCTTGTCTGGACAATGGGTTCATTGATAGCCTTGGCCAGCTCTCCTAGGTCCCTCCATAGCTTCACCCTCCGCAGCTGGGCCCTGAGCCTGAGAGGGAGGCTCAGAAGGTCCAGCCTCGGACAGCAGCACCAAGCACTGTCACCTCAGCAGATCCCTGCAGCAAGCTGTGTGGTGGCAGCATAAACTCCATTTTACAGGGACGAAAACTGAGACCAGGGCAGGGGCTACACTCAAGTCATAGAGCTGGTAGCAGGGGTCAGACTTCATCCCAGCTGCACTGGACTCCGAGTCCAGTGCTCTTTTCCCATCACCAAGTTCCTTCCCCCAATAGCAACAAATTCAAGGGCCTGTCCCCTTCACTCTGTTTCCCTCACATGGACTCTGTTCCCTGTTGTCCTTTCCGCTCCTGTCACCTTCAAGAGCTGGGCATGTGGGCGTTCAGAGGGGGGTAGCCAGAGAAGAGCAGGGATCTGAGCAGTTGGGGCCTCTGGGTTCTGGCCTGCACCCCCTCTCAGCCCGGTGTGCATCTTTGAGTCTATAAATTCCATTATTCATTAGTTGACTTCGGGAGTTTGCCCGGACAATGAATATTTTATTCACCTCCAGACACTGTCCCCAGTGCGTTCTTGGAACAATATTGTTCCTCAGCCTAGGAGCAGAGGCCATAGCCTCTGCCCTCCCTGGACATCCCCTCCCTACCACCACTACCTCCCCTCCTCCAGTACCTTCTCCCCCAGCAGGAGCCCTGGCTTGGGTAGGGCTGCAATTATTGGTCCCAGCATGATCTTGAACTTGAAGCTTACACCCTCTTCACTTTGATTTCCTCGTTTGGACAATGGGTTCATTGATAGCCTTGGCCGGCTCTTGTGGGTCCCTCCACAGCTTCACTCTACACAGCTGGGCCCTGAGCTCTGCTGGGAGCTCTCCCTGGTGCTGAATGTGGCAAGAGGATGCTGGCCTCGGACAAGAGGTCTCTGGCCAGGGAGGGCAGGGACTGTGCTGCTCTTGAAAGGAGTGGGCTCCAGTCTCAGGGAGGGAAGAGTCTGGCCTCTGAACATGGCAGTTCCCACCTCTCTCCCCTTGTCTCCTTCCCACTTGGGGAACCCCCCTGGAATCACAGGTTTCAGCGTGTCACCTCTCCCAGTGTCTCTAGCCTCCTGACCCAATGATTAGTTAGCAAGGCCTGTGGAGAACCCCTCTTGGGAGGACCTGAGGCTCAGGCATCTCCCGGTGGGCACCCCAGAGAGTGCAGTGTGATGGCAGCAGCACCTTCCCCAGATGGGGGAGCGACAGACATAATTCACACCCTGTGATCATGCCATCTGCTCCCCCGTGACGCACAGAGGAGAGGACGGGGCTGCAATGCCGAAGGGCGGGGGGCGGTGGTGAGCGGGCAGTCGTTCATTCACTAATTCTCTCGTTCATTCATTTGACAGATGTTCATCCAGCCCCAGCCACCTTAGCCCATTCCAGTCCTGTGCCAAGCGTAGGAGATCTGGAGAACCCAGACCCAGACCTGCCCTTCAGAGCTAAGAGAGGCCCTCTCACACTTCTGAGCTTTTGCCCACCCTCCTCTTGACCCCTGGAATTCCCTTGACTTGAAAAAAAAAAAGCCACCATGGGTTGGGAGTGGTGCCTCACGCCTGTAATCCCAGCACTTTAGTAGGCCAAGGCGGGTAGATCACTTGAGGTCAGGAGTTTGTGACCAGCCTGGCCAACATGTTCTCTACGAAAAATACAAAAATTAGCTGGGTGTGATGGCATGTGCCTGTAGTCCCAGCTATTCGGGAGGCTGAGGCATGAGAATAACTTGAACCTGGGAGGCGGAGGTTGCAGTGAGCCGAGATCATGCCACTGCAATCCAGCCTGGGCAACAGAGAAAGACTCCACCTAAAAAAATAAAAAAAAATACCCACCTGGACAGCAAGCCCAGGAGCTTCCCCTTCACAGGGCGAGTACCAACACGCTCTGCAGCGGCCTCCCAGGGAGTCACTGGGAGCTGGGTTTCCTGCCAGCCTCTCAGCAGGCTCTAGCCCACTCTCCCTTGGCCCAGGGGTTCTGATTTAGAACTGACAGGCCTGGGCTGGCACAGCCTGGACACTTAGTAAACGTGGAACGACTGAGCTGCTGCTGCGGCTCGCTCTCTCAATCAATACTCGAAGCTATAATTATTATTAATTCCTATTCCTTGGGGGGGATGTTCATGCTAATAGGAAACTCCCAAGAGTTTCAGGGAGGTGATGCCCGGCACCTTTCCTACATTATGTCACTTCATCCTCACCGCTGCCTGGGATGTGGCACTGCCACCTTAACAGGCAGGGAAACTGAGGCTATGGCCGGTTAAGGGACCTGACTGTAGTTCCATGGTGAGGAGATGGTGGATGCAGAAGCCCCAGTCTGCCTGGCTCTTGGTGCTGGGTTCTTACTTCCTCAAGTCTCTGCTCCATCAAAAACACTGGGGAAGCTCAAGGCATTCAGCTCTAGCGGTGGAAGGTCAGAAGATGGGACAGGTGGGCAAGGAGAGCTTTGGAGTGGGGTGGGAGCTTTTCTGGGGCCTCTCTCACCTCCAGGCCCAGGTCCCAGTGGGCAACCAGCTAGCCCGGAGAGGTCTGGGGAGACAGACAGACAGCTGGTGTCCTTCCTGGCTCCTCCGCAGGTTATAGATGTTTCTAGGAGCTCCCTCCAGAGCAGGGCCCAGGAAGTGCTGGGCCCAGGCTGACCCAACCCCGCTTGGCTGGGGCTAGCATCTCTCACTGAGCCCCTTCTCCCCAGACCCTGAGACAAGGCTGCGATTAATCAGTAACAAAAACAGAAACAAGCAGAAAAGTGTAATCAGCTTGGGAAGGGCAGGGCAGGACCGGGCAGGGCTGTGCAATCAGCGTTCCTGCTGGGACCTTTAGCTGATTGGGCCAAAGGGGGCAGGGAGGTGGTCCCAGTAGGGGGATTCAGGGAAGCACCCAGAGATGGGGCCACAGCCAGGCCAGAAGGTCACCCCCTCCCATGCACATCTGTGCACCATATGCCCACACCACTCCCAGCCCCAGGGCCTGCACACCTCCCCCGACCTGCCAGCGTACAACCTTGGCACACACAGGTGGCCACACACTCCCGACATTTGTCCATCTGCATATGGAGTCACAGACACCTGCGCACGTGCCCAGTGGCACATACACACCCTCATGGATAGCAGACATATGCACACGCAGGCTGCTCCCTCAAACACCTGCCCCCACCCCAGCTCTGGGGTGCCGACGTGCC
The DNA here is from genome assembly GCF_000001405.40 of Homo sapiens. Lineage (NCBI taxonomy): Eukaryota > Metazoa > Chordata > Mammalia > Primates > Hominidae > Homo > Homo sapiens. Next base: position 29,719,271 of record NC_000022.11, read on the forward strand.
CTGGGGCCTGGGGAAGCCCTGCACATACATTAGGTCTGAGCTGCAGCCATGTGAACTGGCAGGCCCTCACACCAGACCCCACAGGCACCGGGCCATGTCTCTGTCCCGAACTGCCCTGGGGGCCATGAGACACTTTGGCTCCTCTTCTGCAAGCTGAAAGGTAGGGGCTTGGGAAGGGTCCGGGACTGGGGCCCCATTGTGGGGAGCAAGGTCAGCGGCAGGGTGTCAGTCACAGGCAGGGCAGGAAGCCTACCCCAGACGTGTACCCAGCTCTTACCTGCTGCTCCTGCCCTGTGACCTTGGTCAACGTCCTTCTCTCTCAGCCTCAGTTTCCCCACCTTGGATCCTCCTGGCACGGAAACGGTGACTCTTCTTGAGGACCCAGGTGCTTGGGGCCAGTCTCACCTCTCTGGGTCTACAGTTCTTAGTTCCGGGCTCTCCGCTCCTGGTGCGTGGATGGGGGAAGGTGAGCCAAGGGGCAGGAAGGAGGACCCCCGCAACCCACCCCCTCCCTGGTCCTGGTGGCTGCAGACTTAGGGTGAGGAGAGCCAGTGAACAGAGGGGAGCCCTAGTGGGAAAGGGGAATCGGGGCCGAAGGGGAGAAGGAGCCCCGGGCAGGTTTGGGGCGGCCGCTCAGGGGCCGGCGGCGGGAAGGGGCGGGCTGGGGGTGGGGAGCGCGGAGGGGGCGGGCGGGCGGCTGGCGGGGGAGGCGGGGAGCGCAGCCAGCGCGGCACAGAACGAGCGAGCGAGCGAGCGGAGAGGCGGCTACAGCCTGAGCGCCGGGCCGGTAGCGGCCGCGCCGGCGAGCGGACTAGCGGGCGGCGAGCAGCGCGGAGCGCGCGGGGCACCGAGGAGCGGGCGCGGCGGGCACCGCGCGAGGCAGCCGGAGCTCTCGGAAAGGCCAGAGCGGCGCCGCCCCCGCTGCCCCTGCGGGGCCCCGGCTGGGAGCCCGACGAGGGAGCGGGCGGCATGGCCCGGCGGCCCGGGGCGCGGGGGCGCTAGGCCCCCGGAGGGGCGTCCCCAGCCTCGCCGCTGCCGCCGCCGCCCTCCGCAGCCGCGCGCCCCGCCCGCTCCAGCCGCCCCCGGGGCCGCCACCGGCCCATGAGCCCCGGCCTCAAAGTTTGCGGCGGGCGGGCGGGCGCGGAGCCTCCAAGATGCCGTTCCACCCGGTGACGGCGGCGTTGATGTACCGGGGCATCTACACCGTGCCCAACCTGCTGTCGGAGCAGCGCCCGGTGGACATCCCGGAGGACGAGCTGGAGGGTGAGTGTCCGCCGGGATCCCCGCCCCGGCGGCCCTCCTACCTGTGCGCCCAGGTGAAGCGCGGGCCAGGGGCGCGGGGGCGGGGGGCGGGGGGCGGTCCGCAGGTGCCGGTTGCCAGGTGGGCGCCCCAGCTAGCAGCTGTGCCCCGCGGCAAGACCTGTCCGCACCCCGGGGCGCCGCGGTGGGGGTCGCTCAGGCGGAGAGCGGCCCAGCCCCTGCCCGCGTGGTCCCCAGCGCTGCGGAAACTTGCCGGGCCCCGCAGCGGGGTCACGGGGCCGCGCAGTCGGCGGTGACGGTGCGGCAACGCGGCGGACTGGGGCGGGGGTCCGCGCTGAGCCCCCAGCGCCGGCCCGGCCGGAGCACCCGCATCCTGATCCCCTCCGCGGCGCCCGCCCGCGGCTCTCTGCTCGCATTGACATTCCGCTCGTGTCGCTTTAAAAATTCAATCTGCTCGGGCAGCAGCAGAAGGGGAGAGGGCGACTGCCCTGCTCTTGCCCGCTGCGGGGCCGCCCCCGTCCCCACCTGCGGCCGTAGCCCCTTCCCTGCAGCCCTGCGGGGACCCCCAGCCCGGCGCGCCGGGAAGGCGGCCCGGGAGGCGGTGGCGACAACAAGTGGCCGGACTGGGCGGCTAAGTCGCGATAGCCAAGCCTGGAAGGGAAAGGCAGAGAGGCCAGGACCCAAACCCGCCCCCACCCCGTTCCCCCTGCCTCTCAGACTCGCAGGGGGATGGCAGGCCGCTGGCTGGGCGAGGTCAGAGCAGAGGGCAGGGGCAGGGGTCCGGGACAGTGTGTCCTGAGGAGCAGTGAGACCCCTGGGGCCCGCCCAGCTCCTTCCCTGCTGGGCTGGGGGAGGTGCTGAGGTTTCCCCTCCCCCCAGACCTCCTGGAGCCCCCATATGGAGTGGAGTGGGGGATCTGGGCTGATGGGGGTCACGGCCTCCTGGGATCTGCATGTCTGCTGTTGCAAGGGGCTGAGCTCACCCAGAGGATGGGCCTCTCGGGGTACCTTGGATCCAGGGGTCTCTGAGATCTGGAGGCTCATTAGGGCCTGGGAGGGTGCAGCCAAGACCAGCACAGTCAGGGAGGATGGTGGGAGCCCAGGGGAAGCCATGGAGGGAGGTCCTCCCTCAACCCAGGCCCAGGGTGAGGGCAGATCTTAGAGGAGTCAGAATGGGTCGGGGGAAGATCCAGAGAGAGAAGGCAGCCTCTGCCTCGCTCACTGCACCATAGGCATGAGCCACCAGGCTCCTCACCAACTGCCCCTGCAAACCCTCAGAAGCGGGGAGAGCTGTGGAGACAGGGTCTGGGGTCTGATGCGGACAGGACAGATGGATGATTGGGGCCCCCCGACATGACCTCACCATTCACCCCTAAAACCCAGGGCCAGAGCCTCCTCCAGAGCCCGGGGAAAGGAGGGGTACGATGGTGGGGGGCGAAAGGTCAGGAGATGGAGCATAGGCCTTCTCCTCCCCACCTTTGTCCCCTCCGGCCCTGGGCCACCTCAAACCTCCTGCAGATTTTTCCCTCCAGAGGCCCTCATCCATCCCCTCCTCCTGACCATCCAAGCAGGAGTCACCATGTCTCCCAGACCCCAGGCAGCTTCCGCTTCACTCCCTCCCCTTGCTCCCAGCACCCCCACCAGGACCCCACCACCCCAACTCCAGCCCTTTCTGGGTCCCTCCTCTCCTGATCCCCAGTCCTGGAGTGCACTCCCTGAGGAAGGGGAGAGGCTGAGAGGCTGGCTGCAGGGGCGAGGGGCCGCAGGGTGGGCAGTGCAGGGGCAAGGCCGCAGGCTCCCCAACCAACGACATGGCGTGCTGGCAGGAGCCCAGCTGCGTTAGTCACCAGCCACAACAAGTGCCCTCCCCGCTTCTCTCCTGTCCCCTTCTCCTGGGCCCTGGGGAGCTGAGGGGCCCTGACTCAGGGGGCATCTGAAGGGCAGGGCCCTCCCTGGGATGGGCAGGTGGGGTCATGGAGTAGACAGATGCCTGGGTGGTCCCAGCTCATCTCTGGCCCAGTGGGCAGCTACAGATGAAGGCAAGAAGTTTTCCATGACCAGCCCCCTTCTTGGCTGCAGGTGCCCTAAAAGCCCTCTGGCGGCCCCAGGTCCCTTTCAGCAGTCCTTGAATGCCAGGGCTGGCCATTCCTGGCACGGATCCCCCTCTGCCCTCTCCGCCTCTGCAGGGCCTCATGAGTGCTCCTGCCCCAGGGCGGTCTGGGCGAGACCCAGGCCCTCTGCCGGGAGGACGCCATTCGCGGAGGAGCCACATGTGCCAGGAAGAGGGAGCTGGGCAGCCCGGGATGGAATGCTGCAGACAGTACGTGCCTGCCGCAGAAATCCAGGGGGCGGTCAGTCTGAGCGGAAAGGAGGACCAGGCAGGGAGGTGGGAAGCACAGAGTTAAGATGAGGGCTTCCCAGCCAGGCGGCGCTGGGTTTGAGTCTCTGCACCTTCAGCTCATGGAGTGACCTTGGGCAATCGCTCACCTCTCTGAGCCTTGGTTTCCCCACCTATAAAAGGGGGGCTGGTGATGGAGGATGCAGTGAAAGTACCTACCTAGCACAGGGGGCTCAGGGACCCAGATGCAACATGAGGGGAGGCCCTGCGGGGGTAAGAGGCTGGAGCGTGCAGGGCCCAGGCCCGTGAGGGTGTGCAGGAGGCTGAGCCAGAAGGGCAGGCTGGCAGGGAGAGCTGGGTGGAAAAGGCCTTGAAGGTCTGGAAAAGGTCTCTGGGGACCTGTGGCCCTGGGGAGGCATGGAGGGCAGTTGGCAGGGTAGGAATGTGGCTGCACAGAGCTGGCCTGAGGCCCACCCAGGCCCTGTGAGGGACAGGCACGGACTCTCTTAGATCCCCTCTGTGTGCCCACCATGGCTGGGACATACACCTTTTCCAACATACACACACAGCAGAGTCCTCCAGGAACACTGAGGCTGGTCCCAGCACCATCAGCTGACTCGAGCACCCAAGGGTGGGAATGGGGTGGCTGCAAGTCTTAGCCCTTTCTGGCCGAAGAGAGGAGGAAGGAGTCAGACCTCCAGGCAGACAGTCCCCAGGGTAGGGCTCTGGGGCTGACACTTGGCCTGCCCAGTCTGTGAGTGGAGCCTTCATTGAGAGTGGCCAAATGGGGGCCTTTAGGGCAGGGGAGGCTGGGGAGTCCCCTTTCCTACCTCTCTGCCCTGCAAGGCCAGGAGCCGCCTCTGCACAGCCAAAAGCTCAGGGAGGCCAGAGTGGTGGGGCACGGGGCCAGTGCCACGGAGAGTAGCAGCCACTGCGGAGGATGGACACTACCCTCTTCAGTGACCTCCAGCCAGTGCCTGCCCTCTGGACTCTGGCTGCCTGATGGAGTGCGGATGTCCCTTGGAGTCTGCTGGGGACTTGGGCCCTGATGAAACTCCACAGGTTGAGAAGGACATTGGGGGATGTTAGGCTGGAGGTGGCAGGTAGGGGGCAGGTCAGCCTGGAAACCTGGTGGCCCTGCCAGCCCATTGCCAGCATCCTCATGCCAAGATGGTACCCGTCAGGCTACCCTTGGCCTTACGGGACGGGAAGGGAGCAAGGCTTTCGGGGAAATGCACCCAGCTGTGGGGTGCTGATGGCACAACGGTGGCAGGAAATCACGACACCTGCCCCACTCAGGGAGCCCCCGGCAGAGGCCGGGCTTCAGTGATGGTGCCGGAGTCGCTCCCCATTTCACAGATGAGACACCCGAGGCTTAGAGAGGGACGTGACTTGCCCAGGCCACTGGGCTGCTAAGCAGGATAGCCAGAATCCAAGCCCAGGCCTCTGGTCCCAGCGACCGCCAACAGGAAAGGTGGCCTGGTGTCCCAAGCTCACTCAGTCCTCCCTCTTCTTCTGGCTCTGCTATCTGGGACATTCTGATTTATAGCATCCATCTCTGAGCCAGGACCAGCCAGACACATGCTTGATTTTATTGCTTAATCATCCCAGCAGCCCCATTGTACAGGTGAGCAAATACCTGCCCAAGGTCACCCTGCCAGGATGTAGGAGAGCTGGGACTTGACCTTGGGTCTCTGCCACTTCAGGCTGCCTCCCTGGCTGGGAAGGTGGTGCCTGAACCCGGCCTCTGTGGGCGGGTGGGAGTCGGCTGGGGCAGGGCTCCCAGCACAGGCAAAGGCACCAAGGTGAGACTTTGTGGTGTGTTGGATGTGCCAAGGAGGGGTGTTAAAGGGACTCATGCATGGGGAGGTGGCAGTGTGTGGATTTACCTAGTGGCCTGGGAAGGTAAGCCTTGCCTGAGAAAAGGCTGCTGGGCCTGCAGGGCTGCCTCCCAGCTTATCGCCTGCCCGTGCATCCCAATATTCACCTGCCTTCCCCTGGCTCCCCTCGGCCCAGTGCGTTTTCTCAGGGTCTCCAGCAAAGGGACTCAGGGGCTCCAGCAAAGCAGCCCTGGGCTCTGGGAGCTCCCGAAGGGTAGGAGGGATGACCTGGAGCTCAGCTCACAGCAGGCAGGGGAGGGGGTGGCTCCCACTGCATCCCCTACTGTGAGTCCAGGACTTTGCCATCCCTCCCTGACATCTCCCAGGCAGGACCCTGCAGAGGAGGAAAGGGAGGAGGAGGAGCGGTGCCTGACCCTGGTCCTCCTTCCCCACACCACCGTCTGGCCCCCACTCGTCTTCAGCTTGAGGCCCCTCTTCCACGGGTGGCCCGCAGGCAGGTGGGGATGGCATCCTTGGGGGCTGGAAAAGGGATCAAGCAGCCTCCTCAGCCTCCCTGTCTGCTTCTCGGCTGCTTGGGGAGTGGAAATGAACGTGTCCCCTAACCAGGATTGTTCGTGGGCTCTGAGTAGCGGCTTCACAGCAAGCGGTATGTGAACTGCTGCTCAGAAGAGCCAGAGAACTGCGTGCTTCAGATGGATGGGCTCCCCACATCAGTCATTCATTCATTTCATCATTCATTCAGCAAATGTTTATGCTCGAAGAGGCAGGCCCCGTTCCAGGCAACAGGGACACAGCCACGAACAAGACCAGCCCCTCCCTGCTGTCATGGCCCTTGTAGTGCACAATCCAGCGTGGCCCATGCAAGGATGGGGCAAGAGCAGGGCCTGTGGGGGCCCAGAGGAGGGCCAGAGCTGGCCAGTGGGGAACAGGGAGGGCACCAGGGAGATGGTGCCGTTCAAGCTGAGAGCTGGGGTTGTGTCGGGGTTTGCCACGGCGAGCAGAAGAGCACTTCAGGCAAAATGGGCTGCGTGTTCAAAGGACTGGAGATGGAGCAGTCCTGGTACCCACAGGACCGAGAGGGCCCCTAGCCTGGATGGAGTTCAGGACACCTGGGGTGGGCAGAACATGTGGCCGGGCGAGGAGGCCAGCAGTGCTGGCCGGAAACCTAAGCGTGTGTGTGCAGATGCCTCCAGCTCTACCTAGAGGCTCTAGGGACCGGAATCCCCTCAGCAGCCTCCGTGGCTGACAGGCCTCAGCTCACACATCCCCTGTGACGGGGAGCTCACCACCTCTTTGGTGGCCCAGGAAAGCTCCAGGTGGGAATTGGCCTGGAGTTCCCAGAGTCCAGGGTTTGCAGAATCCTGTGGCCCTGGCACAGACCTCCCCGCCCAGATGCTTCCCTGGCCCCGGGGCCATTGGTTAGGAGACGAGATTCCCAGGTCCTGGTGGGATGAGTGAAGGGGAAGTCCAGAGTCAGAAAGTCTGGGGGCCCAGGCAACCCCGGTGCACATGTGAGCCTGTCTGACCCTCAGGCCTTGGGTGTGGACACCAGTGGGATAAGCCTGATAAGGGTGGGGCCTCCGCCCAAGCCACCTCGAAGTGTGGCCTGGGACATGTGGCCATCCTCTCCGGGCCATGGCCCCTAGTCTGTGGTGAGACCAACAGGCTGGGCTAGGCTCCCCTGTCCCCCGAGACTAGGGAATGACTCCAAAGTGCAAGGTCCTATGAGCAGTTTCAGGGTTCATGGACCCCTTAAGGCAAGGCCTGGGCCAGCCCAAGCAACAGCAGCTCTGAGCCCACGCTGACTCTGGGCCGGCCGCTGGGGCTCTCTCAGCCTGTTTCTGGTCTGCAGCACGGAGCACCTCGCGTGTCTCTACTTTTAAACACACAGATACACACCCTCTCTCACATGAGGAGATTGATTCTGCCTGCTGAAAGCTAAAAGTCCACCCAGGGGAACAGCTTAGGCAAAGGCCAGGTGGCTGGCAAGCAAACAAGGAGACCCCCGGGAGCCGGAGAGAGCATCGAGCCCCGCCCCCCACTCCCAAAGGCAAATGCTGTTTAGGGCCCTGCTGGGGCTGTGATGATTAAGGGACAGCAGCCCTTAAAAACAGAGAAACAGAAGAGACAGCAGTACAGCTAAGGTGACAGGTGAGGACCCCCTCAACTGTGTGCCAGGGAGTCCCCACCATCATTCTGCCCATTTCACTGTGGGTAAAACTGAGGCTGGCCCAAGGTCACAGGTTGGGTTGCTTGTTCCCCGGGCTCCCAGCGCAGTGCATTGCTCACCACCTGAGTCACCGAGGTCATCAGGCCTCGGTCTTCTGCTCCGTACAGTGTGGAGGGCGACCCCCCACCCAGTCTGGTCTGGCCTGGACCTGGAGGGGGGCTCCTTCCCCCTCTGTCTTCCCTGAACCAAAAGAGGTCTGTGCCGCCTGTCAGCCCATTAGTCTGGAGCAAGCTGCCTCACGTGGCTGCCATTAGCAAGTGTTGGCCGGTGTTAAGGATCTAAGGATCCGAGCCTGGGGGAGGAGGCGCAGCGGGATGGAGATGGTGGGGGAGAGGGGGATGAAAGGAATGGGGGCGGGTGGGGAAGCCGTCAGCAGCCGCGGGGGCCGGGGAGATCCAGCATCCTCCCCTGCACGTGGTCCCCACCACACGGGGTCGTTGTGAGCACACCAGGAGAGGCTGTGAGAGCCTGGCGCAATCAGATCCCAAGAGGTCACTGCTGGGGGGCCTTGAGCCCTGCTTTACTGCCCTGCTCAGCCTGCCCAGAGGTCCCAGAATACGGCACCCTTGTGCACCCTCGGGCCATGCTCTCACCAGATCTGCAGGCTCTGGGTTGGGCTCTCAAGGCCATGCTCAGGCTGCAGGGTCGGTGATCCTGGGGGTCTGGAAAGGGGGTCTGTTGGGGACCGGGGTGAAGTCCCAGCCTACTCCATTCTCTCCTCAGAGATCCGAGAGGCCTTCAAGGTGTTTGACCGTGACGGCAATGGCTTCATCTCCAAGCAGGAGCTGGGCACAGCCATGCGCTCACTGGGTTACATGCCCAACGAGGTGGAGCTGGAGGTCATCATCCAGCGGCTGGACATGGATGGTGAGCACCCCCCCGCCTCGGTTTCCCCACCTGGCATCTGGGCCCTGGGGGTGGGGCAGGGGCTGGGGCCTGAGCTGCTGAGGCTGCATCCAAATTGGGTCTCTCGCTCCCCTGACTCCCACCCTCAAAGTCCGTGGCAGGTTGCAGCCCGGTCTGGCCCCATTTCTCAGCCTGGAGAATTGAGGCCAGAGAGGTAGTGACAGTCCCAGCCACATGCAGGGCTCAGAGATGGCTCCTTTCACTCTGTGTTGAGAAGTTTTAAAGTACAGAGAAGTAAAAGGATGCAATAAATACTCCAGTTCCCACCACCTGAGATAAAATGACTACTTGAGTTGTGTTTGCCACCTGGCATTTTATTAAGGAAAAGTTCATAAGGAATAGTGATGCCAAGCCCCCTCTTTATCCCACCCGGGCCCTTCTTCTCCTCTTCTCCATCCAGAGGCCAGGTGACAGCCTTGGCAGGTTGCCCCACTCTGAGCTTCAGTTCCTGTCTATATGGTGGAGGATGGCCCACCCCAGGATGGCCGCAGGGTGCTGGGAGCAACGGAGGGTTCTGGGTGAAATAGGAGGGTCACGGCCCACCTGCTGTCTACCTCCACCTCCCCTTGTAAGGCCTCATCACACTGGGTGGCTTCAGCGTCAGCCCAGAGCCTGGCACTTGGTAGATGCCCCTGACACTGACTCAAGGCTCAGAGAAGGCGGGCACCTGCCTAAGGCCACCCGGTAGGCCCAAGGTGTATCAAGACTCCATCCCAGGACCTCTGGGCCCTGGGCTGCAGGCCTGGGCCCTACCCACTGATTGATTGGACCTGTGCCTCCACCAGGTGATGGTCAAGTGGACTTTGAGGAGTTTGTGACCCTTCTGGGACCCAAACTCTCCACCTCAGGGATCCCAGAGAAGTTCCATGGCACCGACTTTGATACTGTCTTCTGGAAGGTATCCCCTGGCTAGTTGGGACCCAGGGCTGTGCACACTGTGGAGTTCTGTTCTGGAGCCAGTGAATGGCTGGGCCCACACTGTAAAGGGGGGATGACCACTTCAGGCTTGTGTCCACTGGACATTTCACCTCTCAGAGGGCCATGGGCTCCCTGGGGAGGCCGGTGTTGGTCAAGGACTCTCTGGGGGAATGGAGCAAGTGTTTTCCAGCCCCCCAGAATCTAGAGGCCTGTCACCGGGTCTGTATGGCCGTGGGGTGCTGGGTGGGGGCTGCGGTGGCTCTCAGAGCACCGTGTTGTCCCCCTCCGCAAGTGCGACATGCAGAAGCTGACGGTGGATGAGCTGAAGCGGCTGCTCTACGACACCTTCTGCGAGCACCTGTCCATGAAGGACATAGAGAACATCATCATGACGGAGGAGGAGAGCCACCTGGGCACAGCCGAGGAGTGTCCCGTGGATGTGGAGAGTGAGTGGCTGGCCCTGGAACCCCACGGGTGGGCCCAGTGACTTGGCCAGGGGGACGCACGGGGTGGGGAGAGTCTGCAGAGGGGGGCTGGGGGCCTCCTTGCCTGTCCTAAGCCTCTGTCCCATTGGGGCACCCCATGGGATGAGCCCATGTGCCGAAGGGCAGGCGGCTCCTGACTCCATCGCTTTGATGTCCCCTTCTGTCTCCCCGGTGCTCCCGGCGGGCGGCCACAGCCTGCTCCAACCAGCAGATCCGCCAGACTTGCGTGCGCAAGAGTCTCATCTGCGCCTTCGCCATCGCCTTCATCATCAGTGTCATGCTCATTGCGGCCAACCAGGTGCTGCGCAGTGGCATGAAGTAGACGCCACCTGGATGCCCCATCCACCGCATGCGGTGCCCGTGGCCCGCCCCACACCACCGCCGCCTGCAGACCTCTCCCTTGGCCGGCTCCCTGGGCCGCCATCTGCGTGTACTTCAGGGCCTGGGTATCCAGCGAGCCCTCCCCACCCACCCACGGTCCTCACCTGGAGCTGTGGCCTGGCTGTGGAGGGCCGGGTGGTGGCTCTGAGGATGGTCCCCAGCCCCACCCTGTCCCCACCCTGGCCTGTAAGGAGCACTCACTCTTCCTACCATCCAGGGGCTCCTGGGAAATTAAGGAGGGATTTGCACAGGAACCCCCAGGACCCAGTCGCTGCTGTGGTCCCTTGGGCAGGAGCGGGCACCCTGTGCCTTGAGACAGCAGCCTATCTGGGGCCACACAGCCAACCCAGCCCTGGTCCCTGAGGTCTGCCCAGGGCACAGGGCACAGGCAGGGACAGAAAGCCTTCTCCTGGGGGAGGGTGGGAAGCCAGGGTGTCCTGGGCCTTGCTGCCTGGCATAGCCTGAGGAGGCCCCTGGTCTTCTCCTTGGGCCCCTTCCTCTGACCCTCGTTGGACCCCAACCCAGACCCCCTTTTCTCCATGTACCTGCTGGGCCAGCCCATTTCACAGGTGAGGAACCCGAGGCTCAGGGCCCCGAGACTTGGCCTCAGTTCTTCCTTCCACAGGGATTTTCAGGAAAGGCAGAAGCTCGTGGAGGATGGGCATCTGAGGTGGCCCTGCAGCCCCCCACCTTCTGGCCCTCCCACCAGAGGCCCAGCTACCAAGGCCACATTGTCCACCACCCCAGCCTAGAGCCTAGAACTGTAGTCCAGCTGAGGAAGGAGGCAGAGCTGGGGCCTGAAGGCTCTGAGCAGCCTCCAGCCAGGGGGCTCCTCCAGGGCTGAACTTTGGGAGGGCCCCTGTACTACCTCCTGGGCCAAGAAACTGGCACAGCCCCACACTGTCAGTGCCAAGAGGCTGCGCCAGGCCACTCTCTCAGCCCAGGGCCTGCCCTCCTGTCCTCCCACTTCTCTACGCCCTCAAGGTTGGAGACCCCGCTCCCATGCCCCAGCTGTGCCATCCCAAATACTTGGGCAGCAGCTCAGCATGGGCAGACATGGGGGCTGTGGATTCTTCCAGGGCGGGGATGGCAGATGGAGCCCTTGGGCTCCTTGGGCCTAGAGCCACTTCTTACCAGGCAACGGGCACAGCCACCCTGGCACACCCTCTGCCTGGCCGTGCTGAACCTCTGCTGGTCCCAAGGGAGAAGGGAGTGAGCGTGGGTCACCTGGGGAAAATCTCATCTGATTCCCTCCTTGCCCGACCTCTGCTAGGGGCTGGAGAACAGAGCTCAGAGCACCCAGTGTAGGGAAACACAGCCAGACCACTGTGGTGACAGACTTTCTTTATAAACATTTGGAAGTTTTCTCCCCCATCTTCTTAAGAAGCAGGGGGGCAGGTGGAGGAGAGTGAGGGGAGAGCTGCCCGGTGCAGACCCAGGACGAGGGCTGCACTTGGTGTGGCCGTGTCCTGAGCCTCAGTGAGGCTGGGCAGATGGTCTCGGAGCCTCCATGGGGCGTAGCAGGAACCGGGCTTGGCTTCCTATTGTGACTGATGAGAAAAGTGACCACGTGGGGGTCAGTCGGGGGCAAGGGGCTCAGCCCCACTGGACTCTGGGCTGCAGAGGCCACCCCCCAGGTGGGGGTGCCCGCAGGGATGGAGGCAGCTCCTGAACTGGTGGCCAGCCCACGGGGTACTGGAAGACAGTGGTTCTGATGGGTTCAGCCCTAGAGAGAGAGAGAGAAGCGGGGAGAATAAGAGTGCACTACAGCCCAGGCTTATGCCACCCCCAGCCCACCTGCCTCACCACCCTGGCTGTGGGGAGGGTCAGCTGCCTGCATGACTTTTCTGGAAGGCAGAGCCTCGAAAATAGGCAGACCGTTTGAGCCAGCGACCTCACCTCTAGGAACTGAGCCCAAGGAAATAGCGGGGTTGCAGGCAGACATTGAGCTGCGAGACAATGGGAATAACCTTCGTGTCCACCTGTGGGGGACTGATTCAATACATATGCACGTCCACAGCAGAGAATGCCATGCGGCCTGTGTAAGAATTAAGGCAGATTTATATGCACTGATGAGGAAAGACATACTGTGTGATAGGGAGAAAAAGCAGCTTATAAAATAATGTATATAGCATGATACTATTTTTGTTTAAAAATATATAAAATATATAAATGCATAAAAAAATCCTGGAAGACACAGCAAAATGTTAACAGTGGTCCTATCTGAGTGGTGCCATTATGGGTGACTTTTTTACTCCTTTATATTTCTCAAAAGTTTTACGAGCACACAAGCCTTTGAAATCAGAAAAAAACATTGTCTAAATTTTTTTTTAAAGCCTAATTTCTCATGCTACTCACTGTCCTCCTCCTCAACGTCCACCCCGAGCCACCTCCCCTGGAACTTGGGGTCCATGTAAGTACTTGCCCTAGGAGAGGCATCCTCCGTGCCCAGCCCGGGGCACCCTGCCAAGGCCCAGCGATGGCCCCCCAACCATTCTTCCACCTGTCCCATACTCAGATCCTTCTGGCCTTGGGCCCCACGCATGCTGCTTCTCCAGGGCCGCATGGCCCTTCTCAGGCTTCGAAGTACTTTGAACCTTTGAGCACTTTGAACTCCCATCACCCCAGCTGCCTATACAAGACCTTTCTGGAAGGCAGAGCCTCAAAAACATGCAGACCCTTTGAACCAGCAACCTCACCTCTAGGAACTGAGCCCAAGGAAATAGCAGGGTTGTGGGCAGCCATTGAGTTACAGCAATAGCCGTGAGACAATGGAAGTAGCCTTCATGTCCAGCTGTGGGGGACTGATTAAGTACACGTGCACATTGGCCGGGCGCAGTGACTCACGCCTGTAATCCCAGCGCTTTGGGAGGCCAAGGCGGGTGGATCACGAGATCAGGAGATCGAGACCATCCTGGCTAACATGGTGAAACCCCGTCTCTACTAAAAGTACAAAAAAAAATTAGCCGGGTGTGGTGGGGGGCACCTGTAGTCCCAGCTACTTGGGAGGCTGAGGCAGGAGAATGACGTGGACTAAGGAGGTGGAGCTTGCAGTGAGCCGAGATCGCGCCACTGCACTCCAGCCTGGGCGACAGAGCGAGACTCCTTCTCAAAAAAAAAAAAAAAAAAAAAAAGTACACATGCACATCCACATCCACAGCAGAGAGTGCCATGCAGCCGCCGCCAAAATTCAGGCAGGAGCTCATCTGTCTTCCACTTAGGACTGGAGTCCCCAGAGGATGTAGACCAGGGGATAGGGGTAAGGTGTATTTGTACCCCAAGGCGCAGGGCCAGGCCTGGTGCCAGGAGGCCACCCAGTGATTGTGGAACAAACAGCAATGCTGAAAGATCTTACTGACCAGGTGCTATTCTGGGCCACACACCATGACCTAGAGAAACCTTAAGAATCCTCAGGCGAACCCCATTTTATAGATGAGGAAACTGAGGTGCAAGGAGTCAGTCACGTGACCAAGTGACACCCTCGGGATGAGGCCTGAGGGCCTGGAATACCAGCCCCACATCGGCTGCAGACACGGCCTTCCCACTTCAGCTCCCTCTGCTCTGGCACACTCCCACACCCCAACATCCAGCCTTCAGGCAAGGTGAGGCCCTGGCAGCTCCTGGCAGGCTCAGGGGCCCAGTGGCCAGCCCTCTGCAGAGAGAGAAGGGCTTGGGCCTGCGGAGAGGGGTTTGGAGAGGCCTCTGACCTCCGAGGGGGAGGTGGAGAGCCGGGGTCAGGAGCCCTGGGAGTTTCCCCTGCTGCACCCACCCAACCTGCCCCTCTCTGGACCAGACCTGCCATGCAGAGTCAAGGACTCCGGGGAGCTCTGGGTGCAGCCTCCAGGACCCCCAGGTGTGAGAGGACAGGGACATCCCCTGCTTCATGGCTCACTGCCTGCTAGAAAGTGCAGAAGGCAGCTCTTGACATGATTTATGGCACTGGGGAGATTTCATAAACTCCACCAGCCGCAGAGAAGGCGGGGAGGCTCCGCAGTTGCTGGAAGGGAGTGCCCTAGCTGCCAGCCAAGCCTGGGCTCCCTGCAGGGCCACAGGGACAGTGGGGATCCCCAGGGAGGGTGTGATCCTGGGGAGCCCCTTCCCCTGAGCCTCAGGCCCTTCCTCTAGAAAATGGGGCAGATTCCTGGGAACCTGGGACCTCCTGGGTCCAAGTCTCAGCCCCGTGCCCCTGCCTGCCCTGAGGTCCCGCCAGTAGACAGGCATACCCAGTGCCTGCTCACACACACTGGCACACTGCCAGGGCCCCAGACACGTGAGCCAAAGCCTTGGGGACATTGAGGTGCGTGTCTGGCACAACTCTGCTCGTAGCTTCTCTGGTGACCTGTTTGTCCTGTGCGTGAGGACAGGAGCCACTCTCTTGCATTTTCCCAGCCGCGGTCCTAATCAGAGGAAACAGAGTCGAGGAGGAGGATGGGCCAGGATGGCAGCGCCCGCCCAGAGAGGGGTGCAAAGGAGAGATTAAGAGGGATAGAGTCGCAAACTGAAGAGCCAACAATGGGCAGCAGGGCCAGGCCTGGCCTTGCCGAGGGATTAGTCTGTGTGTCTGAGGCCGCCGCTGCTCTTGACAGATCCCTCAGGGTCAGTCTGCGGAGGGGGATAAGAGCTATGCCACCAGGCTGGGGCTTCATGGACCCCCACTTCCCCATGTTTACAAGGAGGGCTGGCCTGGCTCACTGGAGAGGCTCAGCTCAGCCAGCGGAGGTTGGAGCCCGCAGGTCTCGGTTCCCCGAGGTGGGGTGGGCAGCTCTCTGTGCCTTGTACTCTGGGGGAGGAAGCAGATACCCTGAGAGGAAGAGGGGGTCCCCCAGGCTTCCAGACCAGGCCCCACAAAAGGCTCGCAGCACTAACACCTGGGGAACGCCCGAACAGCAGCCTAAATGCTCATTCATGCAGTAAACCTGTCCTGGGCACCCCCAAGTCTGCCCAGGCCATGCAGGAGAAGCGGGGGCTGGGAGGGGTGATGTCTCAGCTAGAGCTTCCAGGACAAGTCTGACTCTGCCAGGCAGAGAGGTGGGAGGCAGTTTCAGGCAAGAAAATAGCATGCGCAAGGTGCTCCAAAATCACAAATGATGCCTCATCTAAGCTGCTGCCGAGTGTCCAGTGGGACCACCAGTCAGGCCAGAGGCAAGAGGTGAGAAGGTGAGATCCGACTGGCTGCGGAGGCATCAGGGAGGGTCCCCCGCCCCAGCCCCAGCCCCAGCCCTGCAAATGGGGCTGTGCGGCCAGAGGTGGAGGATGTGGGGAAGCGCCAGGGCCAGGGTGCATCAGGGCTGCTGTGTGGAGGATCCCCCGCGGGAGCAGAGGGAAGGTGGGAGACCAGGGAGGGGCCGCTGGGGTGCCCAGGAGAGCCAGGGTGGAGGAAGAACATTGTTGCTGCAGCACTGCCTCCAGGCTGGAGAGGGAGCCAGGAAGAAAGTGAGGTAGCCTTGCGGGGGCTGGGGCTGGAATCCACCCCCTCCCATTAAGCAGGGTAGGGGGTGTGGATGCAGGGGAGGGGCTCAAAGCCCAGGACGGAGGGAAAGGCTGCTAGGCTTCAGGAGACCAGCCTGCCCGGAGACAGTTATGGACGCCCAAGGCAGCAATGGCAAAAGCAGGAATAAACGGTCACCTCCCTTCCCACAGCCCCTTTTTCTCAAGGCTGGACAGGCCTGCTCTGCCTAGAGAACAATTCATTTTGGCCCCAAGCCCTCAGGAGGCAGGAGGAAGGCAGGTGGCAGATCCCCTGGAAGGGGCCAGGCTGGGTGGCCAGAGGGACAATGGCCCAGAGCACAGGGCTCAGACCCCCTACAGCCAAGGTGGGCTCCAGTTGCAGAACAATCATTCCCAAAACAGTCACTGCCATCAGGGCAGCCTGCTGCTGCCACTGCCACTACCCACAGCCACACAGAGCCTTGGGCCAGCCCTGAACTTGGTGTCAGAGGCAGCCTGGGGTCTAGACACAGAGCAGGGACCTAGCTCTCTCTCAAGTGAGGGCTAAGGGCAGCAGGGCACGTGTGATCAGGATGGCCCCACCTCCTGGAGAGGTTAAGATTCCTCAGATGCAAAATGGGGGTGCCAATCTCCCTGAATGCCCCCAAACACTGGGAACACTGTAAGCACCAAACTCAATTCTCATATGGTCACCACTTCAACCTGTGACTAGGAGCCAGTCATTCAGCCTCAGTTTCCCCATCTGGTACCCTAGTCCCCCAAGTCTCAAATTCATAGCGCCTTGTTTCAGCACAGGGATGCATCTGTCTGGAACCCAGGCAAGGACTCTGGGGCACCCCATCTCTACCCCACCCATTGGTGCTCACTCCAGTTCAGCCACAGGGACTCCATGAAACCTTGTCACAGCCCCAAGAGACAGCCGGGCCTCTGTGACTCGCTCCCAGCGGAGGACACCATGGACCCAGAGCAGGGAGGCGAGTGGCTGGTGCAACTCGGTTAGCAGGTGGCAGAGTGAGGATGGGACTCATAGGAGATCCTGTCCAAGTAGCGGTGCAGGGGCCAGAGCTTTCTGGGCAGCCTCCAACCAGCTCAAGCCTTTTGCACACGGGCTGAAGGAGTCTGGGGTGTAGGACGTGGATCCCTGGACAGCAACCAGTCCCAAAGGAGGTGCTCACATGCACAAAGACAGGATAGAACCCCTTTAGACGGGACCCTTCAGACAGGACCAGGAGGAGAGAATGTCACACTCCAACGTTTGAGTCATGTCTGTACCACATATACTTTTAAGGTGGGGAGACAAAAACTGAACACGGATTTAAAATAAAGGTAAAAGACAAAGTTAGTTTTAAAACACCTTTACTGGCTGGGTGCGGTGGCTCATGCCTGTAATCCCAGCACTCTGGGAGGCTGAGGCAGGTGAATCACCTGAGGTCAGGAGTTCGAGACCAGCCTGGCCAGCACAGCGAAACTCTGTCTCTACTAAAAATACAAAAATTAGCCGGGCATGGTGGTGCATGCCTGTAATCCCAGCTACTTGGGAGGCTGCAGCATGAGAAATGTTTGAACCCAGGAGGCGGAGGTTGCAGTGAGCCGAGATCGTGCCACTGCACTTCAGCCTGGGTGACAGAGCGAGACTCCATCTCAAAAAAAAAAAAAAAAAAAAAAAGGCTGGGCGCGGTGGCTGACACCTGTAATCCCAGCACTTTGGGAGGCTGAGGCGGGTGGATCAGGAGGGCAGGAGATTGAGACCATCCTGGGTAACATGGTGAAACCCCGTCTCCACTAAAAACACACAAAAAAATTAGCCGGGCGTGGTGGCGGGTGCCTGTAGTCCCAGCTACTCAGGAGGCTGAGGCAGGAGAATGGCGTGAACCCCAAGAGGTGGAGTTTGCAATGAGACAATTGCACCACTGTACTCCAGCCTGGGCGGTAGAGCAAGAATCCGTCTCAAAAAAAAAAAAAAAAGCCGAGTGTGGTGGCTCATGCCTGTAATCCCAACACGTTGCACTTTGGGAGGCCGAGGCAGGCGGATCACCTGAAGTCGGGAGTTCAAGACCAGGCTGGCCAACATGGTAAAACCCCATCTCTACAAAAATACAAAAATCAGCCAGGTATGATGGTGGGTGCCTGTAATCCCAGCTACTTGGGAAGCTGAGGCAGAAGAATCGCTTGAACCCAGAGGCAGAGGTTGCAGTGAGCTGAGATCACACCACTGCACTCCAGCCTGGGCAATACAGCAAGACTCCATCACAAAAAAAGAAAGAAAGAAAGAAAAAAAACACCCTCATAGTCTCTTTCACTGGAGCACAGAGAAGGCAAGAAGTTTGGCCTTCACCTCCTGGCAGAGCTCCAAGGGAAGGCCTCTTCCCCCAGACTATCTGGCCAGGTCCCCTTGGCCCAGGCCAGGCCACCATTTTGTGAAGCCACACCACAGAGGTAGTCAGGTCTGAAGCCCGTTGCAAGATGGGGAAAGCAAGGTAGTCGGGATGGGAAAACGTGTTCAAAGTCGCATGCGGCTCCTGGGCGCAGCTTTATCCCCTTTTCCTCCCCTCCCTCCTTCAACTGCTGGAGGAAGAGCCCAGGAGCTCAGGCTTCGGTTTTGGCCGCCAGCCTTTGTCTGCCCCTGCCTGCCCTGTGCCCCGTTCTGATGTGAATATCACCCGAGGCCCTTCCCTCAAAGAGGAGGACCAGGGACATCACGAAGCACACACCCCAAGGACCCCGATCCAGCAGCTCCCCTTCTACTTGTGAGCGTCCCGAGGGCTGGGGCCATCTCCAGACCCCCTTCCTTAGAAAGGCAGTGGGACCAGGACCTCGTCATCACGCCTGTGCAATCCCGGCTCTACATTTTCCCGTCTGTGTGCCCTCGGGCAAGTCGCACCCTCCCTGTTTTCCCTTCTGCAAGGCCCTAGAGGCAACAGTGGGCAGCAGTGCATGGTGACCACAGCCCAGGCCCCTCCCTCTGGCAACGGACTTGTGACTTGCAGCCAAATCAGCTCTGCCGCCTGCCTCCCCTCCAGCCAGCACAGACTCCAACAGGGGCCCAGCTTTGGGAGAGGCTCTTTCAAACACCCCTCAGCCTCTGGCCAGGGCCTGGGGCCCCAAGGGCTCCTCGGGGAGCTATGTGTAGGCAACTTTATTCGGCCCCTGGGCCTGGGCAGTTCATGGAGATTCCTGAGCCTCAGGAAGGGGAAGGCGGGCTGGGGTTTTGCCCCCAGGGGGCACAGCGGGAGGGAACCCTGGGGACCTGTACCTGCTACTTGGGGCTGAGCTCAGCCGCTTGGCTCTCTTCTCCAGCCAGTCCTCCAGATGGCCCTCGGGGAGCTCAGGAGCATCTAGTAGCCACTCCCTGGCTCGCCTCTCCTCTGTGGGGACAGGGAGACAAAGGCAAGTGAGGGGTACACTCCTGCCTGCCAGAACCCTACCCTCTCACAAAGCAGAAGCAACTGGTAGGCCCTGAGCAAGCCTGGGAAGTTGCAGCAACCTTCCAGGAGGATGCACCTGGACTGCTTCTCCAGGCCATCTGTGCACGAGGGCCCAGCACTCGGCCTCGCTCTGTTTTCCCATCAAATAGAGACAACCCCGGCTGCCTCCAAGCTCTTGGGGAGCTGGAAACAGGACAGTGCTTGTAGAGAACCTGGCCCTGGCCAGGCGTGGTGGCTCACGTCTGTAATCCCAGCACTTTGGGATGCCAAGGCGGGCGGATCACCTGAGTCCAGGAGTTTGAAACCAGCCTGGCCAACATGGAGAAACCCTGCCTCTACTAAAAATAAAAATAAAAAAAATTAGCCATGTGTGGTGGTGGGTGCCTGTAATCCCAGCTACTTGGGAGACTGAGGCAGGAGAATCGCTTGAACCTAGGAGGTGGAGGCTGCAGTGAGCTAAGATCGCACCACTGCACTCCAACCTGGGCGGCAAGAGTGAAACTCCATCTCAAAAAAAAAAAAAGAGAGAGAGAGCCTGGCCCTAAGGAGGGGTCTGAATCTGAGGTGCAGGGAGGCAGTGAGGGCAGTCGAATGGGGTCACATCTCAGCTCTGTCACCTGCCGGGTCTTTGACCCTGGGCAGGGTAATGAGCCTCAGCTTCCCTGGTTTTTATTCTCATAAGCTGTCCAACAAAACCTGTTGCTCAACGAATTAAAACCAATCAACGAATGGAATTTATACAAGCTGGGTGTGAGCGTTTGATGGGGTCAGAGTCGCCAAGTCATCTGGGATGGAGTCTTGGGCCAGAGGAAAGTAATCATACACTTGACTAGCACTCACTCAGAGCCAGGCCCCAGTCTCTGGAGCTCACTCGGGGCCAGGCCTCGGTCTCTGGAGCTCACTCGGGGCCGGGCCCTGGTCTCTGGAGCTCACTTGGGGCCGGGCCCTGGGCTGTACAGGTGTCATCTTGCTTCATCCTTAGAGACATCACATTCGACAGGACACAGCCTCCAAGAGGTTAAGCCACGTACCAAGGTTACAGAGGACGTGGCAGAGCTGGGACTGTCAGAGCTGCCAGCTGGGACTCTGTTCCCAGCCTCCCTGGGCCTCTCCCCATTCCTGTCCCCGCTCGGCATCGTCTCCAGTTCCAGGCCCACTGCCCCGTGCTCGTCCCACCATGGGCCAGCCGTCCTCTGAGAGCCCATAGCCAGGGAAGAGCTGCAGCTGCCGCTGCTGCCAGGACTTGCTGGCCAGTCCCACAAGGCCTTGCTTCCACCCTGGGGAAAAATGCTCCTGGAAACCCTGTGTTGGTCCCGGGGCTGCAGCCACAGCACCACTGGCTCCCAGGGCAGGGCACGGAGCCTGCAGTGTCTAACTGGTCAGAGGGGAGTGAGGCCCGTAGGGGGATCAGGGCAAAGGCCAAGCTGCCCCAGACCTTCACTGGCTACCCTGAGGCCTCCTGGACAGAGAAGCTTAAGGGGGCAGGCACTGAGAGACCTGGAGTCTGCCCCCAACCTGCTGGGGGGCTCACGCGAGGCCTTTCAGTCTGAATGTTGGCCTTAGTTTCCCCACCTGTTCAGTGAGAGGCTGTGGAAGAAGATTGATAAACACCATCTCAGTCAGAACTTCCTTGTTCTCTAACTAGAGGAGTGAATTTCCCAAAGGCGAGATGTCAGTTTCCATGGAAGCTGAACTTGCCCCTCCCTGGAATCACCAGGCTGTGAGACTCCAGAGGGCAGGGAAGGTGCGTTCCTAAACTCCTTATCCCTAGACTGTCGTAAGGGGTCTGCTTGGTGCCAAGTGGGGACTGGGTATGCTGCCTGATTGAGGAAGGGATGGGGTGTACCCACCAATGACTGCTGGGCTGGCCACAGGGTCCAGGTGGGGCTGAGGTGCACCTTCAGGGCTCCCAGGCAGGAAGCCACACAGGCTCCACTGTAAGGGGACACAGGCCTGCCTTCTCCACTCATGCTGAAGCTGTTCCTAACACCTGGCCCAAACCGGGGGCTCAGGGCTCCGCATCACCCTGGGTGGCCCTTGGTTGCCAATGATGGGGAGATAGGGAGGCATAGGCCAGCTTCCCCGGTCTCAGAGCCCACATGCCCCAGCACCCCACTCCCGCTTAGCCCAGGGCATCCCGAGACGTACCCTCCACCTGGATGCTCAGCTCCTGCAGGTCTCGCTCTGACATGTGGGAAAATCTGCAGTTGGAGCCAAAGTCGCACTGGCCTGCAGCAGGAAGACAGAGTTACTCGCTGCTCGGGAGGGGCTCCCCACAGGGGCTGAGGGGTGCCCAGATGAGGGATCCCAGAATCTTAGGGGCAGGACTTCAGGGCCTAAAGAATAGCAACCCTGATCCGGGACAGAAAATGGAATCTCTCCGGCCCTGCCCATTCAGCAGCCAGAGCGACTTCTCACCTATCATGCCACATGCTCACGACCCTTCTCCAGCTGCCCCCCATGCTGGGGATCACTTCCAACTGAAGCCTGTCATGACTGGGCCTCGCAAGCCTCTGCAGGCTGTCTCTGTCACCAGCCCTCCCAGCCCTGCCTCGATGAACTACATATGGGTTCCTGAAAGGGCAATGCTTCCTTTCTCCACTCCAAGCCGCAGCACGTGCTATGCCCAGCCTAGTATTCTGCCTGCCTACCTGGCTCACGGGAGCAATTGGACTGCTCCTTAGAAAGGCTTCAGTGGCAGCTTTGCCAAAGAGGCACCAAAATCTGGGGTGGCTTCCCCTCTTTCAACCAAGGAGACCAAAATGTATGTCGAGATACTGGGAGGCTGGAGGTGTCTCAAGCCAGGATAACCTACCAGTGACATATTCACATCAAGGCAAAGTCTGTAGGGAAGCCCCTGATCTGCAGGCTTGGTGCCCATCCTAGGGGAGCTTGGACATTCACCCAGTTTCCCTAGTTCAGCTGCAGCACCTCTCCCCAGTGCTAAGCTCCCTTACAAACCATGTGAATCATCATAGTTTTCCTCTTTGCCATGGCTGCCAGGAAGCTCAGAGCCAAACCCTTAGAGAATACATAGGACCTCAAGGGCAAGCATGGAGGAGACTATTCTCTTGGTTTTATCTTATTTTTCCTACTCTTATTTGTATCTGTCTTTGGTTCCTTCACTTACTGAGGTTTTACCTCTTGCTCTGTCTTTTTTTAAAAGAGACAGGGTCCTCACTCTGTTGCCCAGGTGGGAGTGCAGTGGTGCAATCATAGCTCACTGCAGCCTTGAACTCCTGGGCTCAAGTGATCCTCCTGCCTCAACCTCCCTAGTAGCTGGGACTACCAGTGTGTGCTACCATGCCCAGCTAATTAAAAAAAATTTTTTTGGTAGAGATGGGGTCTCGCTATGTTGCCCAGGCTGGTCTCAAACTCCTGGCCTCAAGCATTCCTTCCACCTCAGCCTCCCAAAGTACTGGGATTACAAGAGTGAGGCACCATGCTCGGCCCTTTATCTCTCTGACCTATATGCATCTCTAGTAGCTGAGTACTGAGCAGTCAAATCTACACCTAGCATCCTTGGTTCTGATCCTGAACTTCCTCAGATCATCAACCCTGTTACTCTCTGAAGTTCTGCCTGCTGGGAAGGAGGCCAGGTTCCCAGGCTAACTTAATCAACAAGTCTATTCCACCCATAAGTGTCTCTTGGATTTACATGTAATCTCCCACGCCTTGCTTGTTCTAGGTGAGCTGATATAATCACATTCTAGATCTGAAGAGCTGAGGACCAGACTCTAGGAGGTCCTGAGACACACTTGGGAAGGCCCTGACTGGCCAGTCAGCTGGAGCCACTGCTGCAAAGTGGGCTTGGGATGGTGGCCCGGGTCGGGGAAGACACTCTGCAGAGGTCCAAGTGGGGCAGGCTGGATATCGCAGGTCCCCGCAGGGACCTGAGCTGTGCAGAGGACTTTACCTGTCAGTAGAAACTTCCTGCAGGGCCGCTTGTTCTGCTCATCCAGCAAGATGGCAGCTGCATCTGCGAGAGAAGAGAGGGACGGGATTCGGATGGTTCAGGCTCCACCAAAGGAGGCAGGAAGTGGAAGCCACAGGGGCATATGGACCCTTTATCTCGACACAGCTGTGCAGAAAGAAGAGTTTCCTGTTCCACGGAGGAGTGGAAGCAGGAGATGACC
Organism: Homo sapiens; assembly: GCF_000001405.40. Taxonomy (NCBI): domain Eukaryota; kingdom Metazoa; phylum Chordata; class Mammalia; order Primates; family Hominidae; genus Homo; species Homo sapiens. The sequence goes on from NC_000022.11 coordinate 29,742,638, forward strand.
ACAGGTGGGAGTCCTGGGCAGATGGATCCGAGCTGCAGGTGACCTCAATCCATCCCACCCCACGCAGGACGGGCCAAAGACAAGGACCAAGTTTCATGCCAGCAGTTCTCAACTTGGCACGAGGGAGTCAGCTGGAGAGTCTGGGGACTTTGGGTTTTTTTGTTTTTTAGAGACAGGGTCTCGCTCTGTCACCCAGGCTGGAGTGCAGTGGTGCAATCATGGCTCACTGCAGCCACTACCTCCTGGGCTCAAGTGATCCTTCTCCAGTCTCAGCCTCCCAACTAGGTGTGACTACAGCTGTGCACCACCATGCCCAGCTAATATTTTTTATCTTTTTGTAGAGCTGGTGTCTCATTATGTTGCCCAGGCTGGTCTTGAACTCCTGGGCTCACACGATCCTCCCATTTTGGCCTCCAAAAGTGCTAGGAATACAGGTGTGAGCCACTGGGCCCAGCCTGGAGGTATAATACTTTAAAAAAATCCTGGCACTATGGAACTTCTCATTATTATCTTTGCAACTTGCTGTGAATCTATAATTATTTCAAAATAAAATGCTAAAAATTTTTAAGTAAATCCTAGTGCCCAGGAAGCCCACCAGCCAATCCCAGGATCCAGGCACTGCTCCACAGGCAAGACTGCAATCCCTGGCCTCTGTCTCCCCTCCTTCCACCAGCTGTAGGGCACTCAGGGCCAGACCAGCCACCGCCGCGGACAGGACTTCCGACAATCACTCTGTAGCATCGGCAATCACTCTGATCCTAATCTTAACCCTAGTTTCCTCTGATTTTTCCTATTTTTCTTTTCTTTCTTTGAGACAAGTTCTCACTCTGTCACCCAGGCTGGAGTGCAGCGGCATGATCTCAGCTCCCTGCAGCCTCCACCTTCTGCACTCAGGTGATCCTTCCCCCTCAGCCTCCCGAGTAGCTGGGACTACAGGCGTCCGCCACCATGCCCGGCTAATTTTTTAATTTTTTTGTAGAGATGGGGTTTCGCCATGTTACCCAGGCTGGTCTCGAACTCCTGGGCTCAAGCGATCCTCCCCACTTGGCCTCCCAAAGTGCTGGGATTACAGGCGTGAGCCACTGTGCCCAGCCTATCTTTACTTTCATCATATAGGTATGGTTTTAAATTTGCTTCTTGATAGGCAAGCTATTAATCAGTCAAAATCTGTAAGGAAGTAGGGTACCTGAGGATGGTATCCTGACTCAGGAACCCTTATATCCACCCCAGGGGAGGGGAGAGGCAAGGCCTGGGCTGGACATTCACCCACCACCTTTTCTAGAGGCCAAGGAAAGACCACAGGCTCCAGAGTCCAAGAAACCTGAGCTCAAATCCTAACAACATATGACCACGTGCAAGCTGCATAAACTCCAAGTCTCAGTTTCCCCATATGTCAAATGGGAGGATAGTTCCCACCTGGCAGGGCTGCTGTGAAAATGTCATCAGATAATGAATGGAGAGTGCTTTGCAGAGGAGGCCCGTGGCTCCCAACTCTGGTGGTACATGAGAATCACTAGGAAAGTGACCAGGTTTGCCTCTGGGGCCAGCAGTGGCCTTAGCACCATGTTCTCCAGGTATACGGCCAAGACTGGGTGGGTACACAGCAAATGGTAGCAATTCTTCATTTTTTCCTCACAAACCCTCTGAACAGCGCAAACATCCCCACTTTGCAGAGGGGAAAACAGAGGTTCAGACAAGGGAAGTGATTTGCCAAGGGCAACTGGTGGCTTGTGGGAGGCGGGGGCGGGCGGGGGGTGTGGTCTGCTGGGATAAGGAGTTGGTTGTCAGAGAACTCATGCCAGGGGGACCAGCAGGGTGGGGAGGGTCTATCTGTTAGCGCCGGGCTTGTCAGACTCATTGTACCCAGCTGGTGCTACAGACACCACTGCCTGCCTTTCCCTGAGGTGGGGGGGTACTAGGGGAGGGCATGTGGACATTGCCCTGGACCCCCAAGGCTGGGATGACTGAGGCAGGCGGCGGGACTGAGCCTGGGTCCTATACAAGGGGCTGTGCCAGGTGGCTTGGGGTGGGAGAAGAATTCCAGGCTGCCCACGTCCGCTTAGTGGTTCCTGACCCCAGCCACACATCAGAATCACCAGGCAGTTTTTAAAGTACATGGACACCCGGCCCCAGCCCTCTCAGGTTCTCTTTTAATTCATTGGAAGGGAGGGCATCAGAATTGTTTAAAGCTCCTCGGTGACTCTGAAGTGTACTCAGGGTTGAGAACCCCTGGCCCAGGCCCTGCACGAGGAAGCCCATGCTCTTGCAGTGGGTATTCAAGGCCCCTCATGATCTGATCCTATTGGTCCTTCTTGCTTCATCTCCCAGATGAACAGCTGCCCCTGGTGCCTCATGTTTCTTTGCTCAATCACTTAGACATTCATCTGCCAAACATTCACTGAGCATGTCCTGTGTGCCAGGCACCACGCCAGGCTGAGGATTTAAGTGGAGAACAAGTCGGAGCTGGTCCTTCCTTCTGGTCCAACAGTCACACTAATCCCTATGGATGTAAGCGGGGTAAACATCTAGCGTGTAGCCAAACGACCTGACCCGTTCTAGGGGTCGGGGAGGACGTCCCTGAGGATTTGCTGCCTGACTTGAGTTCTGAGGTGGTGGGGGGGCCTGGCTTGGGGCAGGGAGGACAGCAGGAAGGGCATGTCTACAGAGGGGACAGCTTATGCCCAGCAGATGCAGTGGCCAGGGTGGCTGCAGCTGGAAGGGAGAGGCCGGCAGGTCATGGAGGCCTGGGCAGGACAGGGGCTTTGCCCAGAACACACCATTCTAATTGGGCGCAAGCTCGCTAGGCAGAGGGGCCCTATTTTATCCACCTTTGAATCTTTAGAGCCTGCCTGGGAGCCGCGGACATGCTGAATGAATGAGCCCATGAGATGAAGGCTGGAGGGAATCCTTCTGAGGACCCACAGGCACCATGCCTACTTAGTAAGCTCTTATGTGCCATGCAGTCATCATGAGGTTACTGAGCCCCTGTCATAGCCCTGGAAGGTGGGGACTGTTGTAGCTGTTTTATACATGACAAAATGAGGGCCACAGTGTTAGTGAGTGACACCTGGGGACTGGTGCCCTGCACCTGACCATGGCGGATGGATCATCAGCCCCTCTGAGGGCTAAGGGGACGTGGCCCAGGCCAAGAAGCTGGGAGCAAAGCTGAAGTCGAGTTCATTCACACGGTATATCCGCAAGTCCCTGCGGTTGCTCAGAGTGAGCAGAAGCCCTGGGGCAGCCTCCTGAGGAAGTGGAAAGAGGTCATGTGCCAGCTTGGTCCTCGGTAGCTGGGGACCCAAGGTGAGGGAACCCACTGCCCTGGATTTTATTTCATTTATTTATTTTTTTTTGAGACAGGGTCCCGCTCTGTTGCCGAGGCTGGAGTGCAGTGGTGCAATCTCGGCTCACTGCAGCCTCCACCTCTTGGGGTCAAGTGATCCTCCTACCTCAGCCTCCTGAGCAGCTGGAACCACAGGAATGGGCCACCATGCCTGGCTAATTTTTTTATTTTTGTTTTTATTTTTTTGAGATGGAGTCTTGCTCTCTTGCCCAGGCTGGAGTACAGTGGTGTGATCTCAGTTCACTGCAAGCTCCACCTCCCAGGTTCAAGCAATTCTCCTGCGTTAGCCTCCAAAGTAGCTGGGATTACAGGAACCCACCACCACGCCCAGCTAATGTTTGTATTTTTAGTAGAGGCAGGGTTTCACCAGGTTGACCAGGCTGGTCCTGAACTCCTGACCTCAGGTGATCCACCCACCTCAAACCTCCCAAAGTGCTGGGATTACAGGCATGAGCCACGGAGTCTGGCCAAATTTTTTTATTTTTAGTAGAGATGGGGTTTCACTATGTTGCCCAGGCTGGTCTTGAACTCCTGGACTCAAGCGATCCTCCCACCTCAGCCTCCCAAAGTGCTGGGATTACAGGTGTGAGCCACCATGCCCTGCCTGCTCTGGATTTTGAAGTCACCACCTGTAACTGGGAATGCCTGGCTTGGCCTGCCCAGCCTCTTACAGAACTGTTCTAAGGACTGAATGTGTTGGGGATGTGAGGACACTGAGAACACAGGAGCCCTGGGGCACTCCTGTCACCTGCTGCTTCATCTTTTCTATAAGTGACACAGGGACCTCTGCCAATCAGCCCTGGATCCCAGCATCCAGCTGTTGACAGCTGAGAATCTGGGACTAGGTGATCTCGGCCCAGCTCCCTCTAGATCACAGCCCACACTGGATTTGCACAGCAGGGAGCCTTAGCGTAACACCAGGGTTAGAGTCTCCTAGGGAGCTAGGAGACCCCACTGCCCATGAATTTTCCTGTGGCCTTGCAACCACAGCCACGCCTGGCCTGCTGAGCAGCCTGGCCACCCCCTCACTTGAACCTCTGAGCCTCAGCTCCCTCAAGTGAAATGCGGAGTCTGGGAAGCCTTTAGAAACACCATGCCTAGTCCCCAAACCTGCCTCTGGGGAGGGGATGGGGTTGGGGAATCAGTGGTTTTAGCCTAAAGGTCTCCAGGTGATCCTAACCTGCAGCCGGAGTTGAGAATCACTGCCCTAGAGAGTTGTCGAGAAAAGCAAATGACGAACTATGAAAAGCACCAGCATGTAGCAGGCATGCGATCCATGCTCATTCCTTGTTTGTGAACTCTCAGTTTCAGGCCTTTTTTGAGGCGGGGTCTCACAATGCTGCCCAGGCTGCTCTTGAACTTCTGGGCTCAAACAATCTTCCCACCTCAGTGTCCCAAAGTGCTAGGATTACAGGGGAAAGCCACCACACCTAGCCCCAACCAGGGAACTCTCTCTCCACCTCTCCTCCCTTCTTGGCTGCTGGATTTGGTTCCTTCTTCGGAGGCCCTGTCCCAGAATCCTGCTCACCAACCTACAGGGCATCGGCCCCACTCTGGCTCATTCCAGGAGCTCCTGGCCCACCCTCGCCCCACCGCCAAGTGCCCATATCTCTCAACCTGGCTCCTGCCAGTCACCCTCTGGAACCTCCCTGGCTGTTCCTCAGTGTGAATGTCCAGTGACAGCCGTGCAACAGCACAACTCCCCTCTCTGGGCACCTCCCGGGAAACAGGCCCTGTGCTAGGCACTTCCGACCTTAGCTCATTCACCCCAATTGTTCTTGCTCTGAGAGGCCTTTCCCAGAAGAGCCTGCCTTCCTTCTGCAACTGGGTTATTCACCCGTGCCTGCAGCCAGTCATTCAACTGCCACTGACCGCACCCAACTGCTCCCCACGAAGCAGTCTGCGCTGTCAAGGCAGGTCTGGCCACGGCAGCTAAAGCCCTTCAAAGGCTGCTCTCTGCCCTTGGAACAGGGACCCCCCCACCTCCGCCCCCTGCTTATGATGGCCTCCACAGGCTTGGAAGATCCCTGCCCCAGAGCCAGCTTGAGCCCTACCATTCTCCCCTGGCCTGCTCCGCCCAGCCACACCCTCTCCCTCCTGCTCCGAGAGCCCTGGTGCTGGACTCAGGGCTGCCTGCTTCTCTTCACACCCTCCACCCAGAACTGCATGGCTAGCTTTCCCCTATTTTAGCTGTTGGCTCAAACATCACCTCCTTCTAGGGCCTTCCTCCTGTCCACAGAGCCTTCAGTCAGCGTTGTTGGGGAAAGAGCTCACCTACCAGCCTGCTCCTCTGAGGGCCCAGTGGCTCAGGCCTCCCTCTCTTTTGATCCTCAAAGAGCCCAGACCTAGACTGTCACTGACCCACAGGAGTCTTTGATGATAAGAAAGATCAGAGAGCAGGGCTCCAGGAGCCTGGCCCCCAGCCAGCGGCACCCACCTCGGAACATGTCGTACCAGACCTTCTTGGCCTTGAGGTGCTGCAGCCCGTTCAGGTGCTTCTTGCGGTTGTGGAGGTTGTCCTGGAAGGAGCGGTCGCAGTAGTCACAGAAGTATCGCTTCCCCATGGCCACTCAGAGCAGGTGCTTTGCTGCCTGGGAAGCCACAAAGAGCTCAGATTAGACCATTGGAGAAAACACATCCCTCACCAGCCCACTGAATGCTTCCTGAGGGCCAGGCCTGAGCCCAGGCTTTACTCATATGCACCCCGCCCCATTAGGAGTGTCAAGCTGATGAGTATGGCCTAAGAGGCCTCATTCCAGAGGGATCTGTTAACCATTCTGATGCCCAGCCTGCAACTTAGGCCAGTTAAAGTAGAACCTCAGTGGGTGAGGCCTGGGCACTGTTTTTTCTTGAGAGGGTGTTGCTCTGTCACCCAGGCTGGAGTGCAGTGTTGCAAACACAGCTCACTGCAGCCCCCACCTCCTGGGTTCAAGCAATCTTCCTGTCTCAGCCTCTCAAAGTGCTGGGATTACAGGCATGAGCCACTGTGCCTGGCTGCTGTTTGGTAGTTTTTAAAGTCTATCAGGTGATTCTAACATGTAAGTAGGCTGAACTGCCACCTTATACCCTGTGGCTGGCCTCCCTTGTCTCCTACCACATAGGGTTTTATTTTTTTGAGACAGAGTCTCGCTCTGTCACCCAGGGTGGAGTGCAGTGGTGTGATCACGGCTTACTGTAGCTTTAACCTTCTGGGCTCAAGTGATCCTCCCACCTCAGTCTCCCAAGTAGCTGAGACTACAGGTGCGTGTCATCATTCCTAACTTAAAAAAACAATTTTTTTGTAGAGATGGGGTCTCGCTATGTTGCAGAGGCTGGTCTCCTGGGCTCAAGTGTCCTCCCGCCTTGGCCCCCCAAAGTGCTGGGATTACAGGTACGAGCCACCGCCCCATCCCCTACCATACCTCTGACCTCCACATTTGCATCATATAGGCCACACCGGCCTCCCCTTTGCTCCTCACACATGCCAGGCACATGGCCACCTCCCGGCCTTTGCACCCAAGGCTCCCCAGGGAGGGGTATGCCCTCCTGCAAACTCCCGCCTCACTTCCCCTCCTGACCCCTTCCATCTTTGCTCCAATGCTACTTTATCCAAGATGGCAGAATCTTCCACTTAGCTTCCTCCACTCCCTGCTTTATTTTCCCTCATAGCATGTATCACCCTTTGATATGGTGAGGCTTTGTATCCCCACCCAAATCTCATCTCGAATTGTAATCCCCATAATCCCCAGGTGTCCAGGGAGAGACCAGGTGGGGGTAACTGACATGGGGGTGGTTTCCCCCATGCTGTTCTCATGATAGTGAAGAGTTCTCACAGGATCTGATGGTTTTATAAGGGGCTCTTCGTGCTTTGCTCAGCACTTCTCTCTCCTGCTGCCTTGTGAAGAAGGTGCCTGCCTCCCCTTTCCCTTCTGCCATGATTGTAAGTTTCCTGAGGCCTTCCCAGCCATGCAGAACTGTGAGTCACTTAAACCTCTTTCCTTTGTAAATTACCCAGTCTTGGGTATTTCCTTATAGCAATGTGAGAACGGACTAATACACCCTTCATGCAATAAGTTACTTGTTATGTTTACTGTCTTTCTCCCACAATGAGAATATAAACCCATGAGGGCAGGTTTGTGTTTTGTTTACTGCTGGAGCCCCAGCACCTAAAATAGTGCACAGTACAGAGTAGGCATTGAAGTACTTGTTAAATGTATCAATTCTCATTTTCCCTTTGGGACAACTGAGGTTCAGAGAGGGAGTGTGATTTGCCCAAGGTCACACAGCTGATAAGCAGAAGGCAAACCCAGTCCCCTAACGTTACATTGCCAGGTGTCCTCTCTTCCACAGCCAGTTCAAGGCTTAGAGAAGCCAGAGGGCGCAGGCAGTGAATGCTGACAGCTTCCCAAGGAGATCACTAAATTATCAGGTGGCAGGTCCGAATCCAGTCACAGAGGGAAATGAAAACATTTTGGGGTCTTAAGACCCCTCAGCCATGGTGACCACAGCCACCACTCCTGACCCAGGAGATCTGCAGCCCAAGGTGGGTGGCAATTCAGTGACTCTCATGGCCAGCCCTTGGGTCCATGAGTATGGTGCTGCAAAACAGGAGGACAGACAGGTCCACTTTGGGCCACCAAGGGGGATCTGCCAAGGCTGAGCCCAGACCAACTGCTCACCCTGTGGTCAGACCCCTCACTTCACAGAAAAGGTTCCTGAGGCCCAGATGAGGAAGAGAAATGATTTCCCCCAGGTCACAAGGTAGCTATCCGGGCTAGCAGCCAAAGCCCTGGACTCCCAGGACCTGATCACCACAGTGGACCAATGGGGGAACACAGCTCAGGAGGAGGAGACTGGGGAGAGACACAGAGACAGTCCCAACAGCCAAGCAGGTTGATGGAGAAAGCCATTCTTGCAGCAGACAGGGACAGCAGCCATTAAGTCAGGGGCTGTAATGGGATCAGGAACAGACAGTCATTCAAAATGAAAACATATAAAACCTCTCTTCTCCCATTACTGCAGAGGGACCGTGTCCCAGACACGCACACTTGATATATTAAATTTGGCAGCTCTAATACACCCCATCTTGTCAATAAACTTATAGGAATTGGATTGAAATTGTAAGAGATGAACGTTTAACGGCCGAGTGCTAAACCAAGCCATTCAGAAAGCTTGAAGCTCCCAGAAGCTTGCTGGCGCTGGAGAGTAATGGGGAAGGGAGGGGACAGGGAGGGTGGTTCTCTGGGAGACTGGAACAGAACGGTGGCTCTGCGGCCTACTTAGATAGACAAAACCACACAGGCATTGAAAAGCTGCCTGTGTGACCTTGGGCAAGTCACTTCCTGTCTCTAGGCCTCTACGTTCACTGTGGGAATATGAGGCAATGGCTGCTTGATCAGGAAGTGGTACAGAGAAGTTTCCTAATGCAGATGGTGAAAATGATGCTGATAATACCTGGCATTAAGCAAGTGCTCAATAAATATTACCTATTATTAGGGCTAGTGGTTTATTGAATACCTACTACGTGCTGGCACTAAGCTGAAAGCTCTATATGCATCATCTCATTTAATCCCCAGGACAACCTGTGGGGGAGGGCCTGTTATGCCTTTTTAGATGGGGGCACTCAGGTTCCAGAAATGAAGTGACTTAGCCAAGGTCACACTGCTAGGAAGGAGCCCCGCTGGGCTTGGAATCCAGGTAGCAGGCCTCTAGGGTCCCCACTCCTGATCACATAATGAAAGTCTCCTCCTTAATCCCAGCATTTTGGGAGGCCGAGATGGGTCGATTGCTTGAGACCAGGAGTTCAAGACCAGCCTGGGCAATAGAGTGAAACCCCATCTGTACAAAAAATGCAAAAATCAGCTGAGTGTGGTGGCACATGCCTGTATTCCCAGCTACTCAGGAAGTGAGGCAGGAGGCTGGCTTGAGCCCAGGAGGCAGAGGCTGCAGTGAACTGAGACTGAGCCATTGTACTCCAGCCTGGACAACACAGCAAGACCCCCATCCAAAAAAAAAAAGTCTCCTTCCAACAAATCATAATAATGACAATTTTCCTTTATTAATCACTAGCTACACCCTAGGACCATGCTAGCCCCTTCAAGCCCCAAGAGGTGTGGATTATAATCTCATTCATGAATGAGGCAACTGAGGCCCAGACAGGTGCCATGAGGGGCCCCAGCTCACACACATAGGAAGGGCAGAGCAGGCCTCAGGGTACCTGGGGCTCAGGTCTGCCAGGAAAGCCTGTCTTCATGCTGCCGTGCTAGCTGTCCCAAACACCAGCCCACCAGGAAACTGGACCACACGCTCCTCGGCCTGCCTCCCCAGCCACACTCTGACCCAAATGGTAAGCCCCTTTGGTGGGCTGTATGTGTGTGTATATGTGTGGGTGTTCATGTTTTCCCCCCTCTCTCTCACCCCCTCCACTCCATGGGGGGCAAACCAGCTAATGGTTCCCTTCACTTCATCACCTTGTCAGCCTCAGCTCAGGGCCATGGCTGCCCACCCATGCCCTCCTCTGCCCACCCATCATCTAGCACATGAGAAGTGTTCGGCCATCCTGGATGGGTCAACACGACCCCACATTCCAGTCCCAGCTCTGCCACGTGGCTCAGTCTGTGACTCAGCCACTTGCCCTCTCTGGGCCTCAGTTTCCCCATGTGGGAAGCTGCAGTGGCAGGACCAGTTGATCTCTAAAGGCCTCTCTGGTTCTAATATCCAGTGATCAGATGAGAAGATGCCCAAAATAACGCTTTTTTAAAAAATGTAAATATTGGTCTCGCCATGTTGCCCAGGTTGGTCTCAAACTCCTGAGCTCAAGTGATCCTCCCACCTCTGCCTCCTGCAGTGCTGGGATTACAGTCGAGAGCCACCGCACCAAGCCGGCAATGCTTTCTATCTACCTGTCACAGACACATGTGCAGTGTCAGGCCAGGGAGACCAACGGGCAGCACAGTCCCTCTGGGACGGGAAAGCATGCTCACTGAGCACCACCTGGGCAGGCCCCTCCCTGACCCTCTCACCCTAAGAAGCAGGTCACAGCACCCCCATCTCACCTCCGAGAGCGGGATACCCAGCCTGGGGACAGCACTGAGCATCAGGACCAGCTATCTCTGCATTTCTGTGCCTGGGGAGGCTGTCCGGGGACAGAGTTAAGAGCTGGCTCTGGAGTCAGATGTCAGGGCTTACATCCAGTCGCTACTGCTTCCTAATTTTCTCACTCAGTGATACTGGCATTTCTGGCCTTGTTTTCCTGCTATGAAAACTGGGATAATAACAGTGTTCAGGCCAGGCGTGGTGGCTCACGCCCATAATCCCAACACTTTGGGAGGCTGAGGAGGGTGGATAGTGAGGTCAGGAGTTAGAGACCAGCCTGGCCAACACAGTGAAACCCTGTCTCTACTAAAAATACAAAAATTAGCTGGGCATAGTGGCGTGTGCCTGTAGTCCCAGCTACTCAGAAGGCTGAGGCAGAAGAATTGCTTGAACCCAGGAGGCAGAGGTTGCAGTAAGCAGAGATCGCACCACTGCACCCCAGCCTGGGTGACAGAGCAAGACTCCATCTGAAAAAGAAAAAAAAAATTGCCGGGTGTGGTGGCGCATGCCTGTAATCCCAGCTACTCGGGAGGCTGAGGCAGGACAATCACTTGAATCCAGGAGGCGAAGGTTGCAGTGAGCCGAGATCGAACCACTGCTCTCCAGCCTGGGTGACAGAGCAAGACTCCCTCTCAAAAAAAGCAAAAACAACAACAACAAAAAAGAACCAGCTGTGCAGAGCCCCCACTGCCCAGGGATGGCATTGGGGTGAGGGGGCACACATTCTACCTACTTCACAGTCCTGTCCCCACAGGCATGTGCCTGAGGCCATGTTCCCAGACAGAGGCTGGCCTTCAACAAGATGACCTCGCTCAGATGTAAAATTCTAGAGCTCCTGAACCAAATGCCTCCCGCTCTGATGCCTTTGCCCACATTAGGATAAGGTTCAACTTGCAGAATCCTCTGGACACATGCAGCGCCCTGCCAGACACACAACTTGGCAAGCAGAATGCCGGCTGGAGTTCAGCTCCAGCTCACCCCTCAGCCAGGTGTCCTTGCACAAGGTGCAACCTGCACCACCGTACTTGGCAGCCGAGGAGGGGTCAGGGACAGGGGAGGAAGGGGACAGCTGGAGTGTCTCTAAATGGCGCCCAGATACCATCATGGGGTGCTGACTAAGCTGGCCCCCTCTGCTGTGATTCATCCCCATCCTCTGAGGGTGGCACACGCAGCAGAGTGTGAGCGAGGTCCCGTCTGGAACACAGAACCATCCGGCCCCACGCCCTGCCAGAAACACAGGTGGTGCCATCCACCCACTCCCAGGGACCAGGTGCACGGCTGCAAAGGCATCTGCTGGATCCCTGGAGCACCAGCAGGTGAGAGTGCTGGCTTCTCTTGGCCAAGGGGCAGCGGGCAAGGCTAGTGGGACAACCTCTGGGTCACATGGGTCACATCTGAATTCCAGCTCTGCTGCTTATGAGCTGGGTGACCCCTGGGAAGTCATTTCATCTCCCTTGATCTATTCTTAGCTATAAAATATGGATCCCACAGCTGCTGAGGTTTACCGAGGCAGTAGTACATTAAGGTGCCTAGTAGCCAGCTGCAATGGCTCAGGCCTGTAATCCCAACATGTTGGGAGGCCGAGGTGGGAGGATCACTGGAGCCCAGGAGCTCGAGACCAGCCTGGACAACATGGGCAGACCCCATTTCTACAGAAAGAAAGAAAAAAATTAGGCAGGCATGGTGGTACATACCTGTAGTCCCAGCTATTTGAGAGGCTGAGGTGGGAGGATAGCTTGAGCCCAAGGAGGTCAAGGCTCCAGCCAGCTGAGATTGCGCCACTACACTCCAGCCTGGGTGACAGAGACCCTGTCTCAAACAAAGAAAAAAATGTGCCTAGCATATAGTTCCTGCTCAATAACGGAGGCTGTTACTGTTGTTACTATTATCATCCGGGCTGCCCACCCCCTCACCCTCTAAGTGAACACACTCTGAACCCCACTTTAAAATCGCAGTCAAGGCCGGGCACGGTGGCTCATGTCTGTAATCCCAGCACTTTGGGAGGCCAAGGTGGGTGGATCACTTGAGGTCAGGAGTTTGAGACCAGCCTGACCAACATGGTGAAACCCCGTTTCTACTAAAAATACAAAATTAGCCAGGCGTGGTGGCACACGCCTATAATCCCAGCTGCTCAGGAGGCTGAGGCAGGAGAATTGCTCAAACCCAGGCAGCGGAGGTTGCAGTGAGCAGAGATTGTGCCACTATGCTCCAGGCTGGGCAACAAAGTGAGACCTTGTCAAAAAAGAAGAAAGAAAGAAAGAAAAAAAGAAAGGAGAGAGAGAGAGAGGGAGGGAGGGAGGGAGGGAGGGAGGGGGAGAGAGAGAGAGAGAAAGAAAGAAAAAGAAAAGAAAGAAAAGAAAGGAAAGAAAGAAAGAAAGGAAACAAAGAGAAAGAAAGAAGAAAACTAGTCAAGGCACTGTGGGGTGGCAGAGAGGAGAAAAGAGGCTGGGGATGGTGGGTGAGGGGTGACAGCTTCAGATTTGATTCCCGCTTGCTTGGCACTTCGCTTTCATTCCCTTATTTAATCCTCCTAGAGACACTCTGAGTAGATATCAATATCAAGTGTCCATTTTACAGACCAGAAAACAGTTTTGGGAAAACTCGGTCCTAATTTGTTCACAGCCATGGCCAGAAAGACTCTAATAATAACCATAACAATTACTGTTAGTGTCAGTAACAATAATGACACATCAATAACCAATAACAACCACGTCTCATCATCCTGAGCTGCCAGTGGGCCAGGGTGCCATGGACCCCCACATCCCCTCCTGTGGAGTCTTCACCATGACACTGTGAAGCCACGTGCCTAAGGCCCCACAGCCAAGGCACACCAGAGCTGGCACGCACACTTGGGTCTGGCTGACCCCAGAGCCCACTCTCTCTCCATCCCACTGTCCTGCCGTGAGGCTGCTACAGGGCAAACATTTGCGCTTCATCAATATTCTCCATTCCTTTCGTTGTGTGTGTCTCAGGTACAGAAAGAGCTGGCTTTGGCACAAGGCAAAAATAAGCCAACAGCTCGGCCTTTGGCCAGGGGCTGGGATGTGCACTATAATTATCCTGGACTTGTGCTCACCACAGGCGACCCTGAAGCTCACCTGTTATTTTTTCTAATTATGGCACCTCCAGACCCCAGGTAAACAGTAAACCACAGCCAGAGGACGGCTTTATTGCACGCCCACTAGGAGCTCGGTAATGTCCCAGTGTCATATATGCCTGCCATCTGGAGTTGATGGCATCAGAACCACCCTGTGGGGGTGGTCTGCAGACTGCTGGTGCAGGACCCTGTTCGGAAGGAAGCGCCAAGGAAATCCAGATGTCTTTCCTGACCGAACCCCCGTATGCTAGAGGCATCCTTGAGATCCTTGGGTGGCAGCCACACACCTTTTTCATCCTGACCTCATCCCTGTGTTTGCCTCCTGCCCTCCCCTGGGGTAAGGCACATCATCTTTTTCCCACAGGTCTAAGGCAGCGAGGGGCCCACCCACTGCAATTTCTGACTCGGCAGGTCTGGGACAGGGCCAGGATGTAAGAAAGTCCTGATTCAGACTCCACAGAGAAATGCGAGTCCAGGCTGGGCACAGTGGCTCACACTTGTAATCCCAGCACTTTGGGAGGCCAAGGTAGGAGGATCACTTGAGCCCAGGAGTTTGAGACCAGCCTGGGCAACATAGTTAGACCCCATCTCCACAAAAAAATTTTTTTTAATTTGACCAGGCATGGTGGCGCACACCTTTAATCCCAGCACTTTGGGAGGCTGACGCAGGTGGATCACCTGAGGTCAAGAGTTCGAGGCTATCATGGTGAAACCCCATCTCTACTAAAAATACAAAAATTAGCTGGGCATGATGGTGCATGCCTGTAATCCCAGCTAGTCGGGAGGCTGAGGCAGGAGCATCACTTGAACCTGGGAGGCGGAGGTTGCAGTGAGCCAAGATTGCACCACTACACTCCAGCCTGGGCGACAGAGCGAGACTATCTCAAAAAATATATATATTTTTTAATTAAAAAATTAGCTAGGTATGATAACACACACCTGTTGTCCCAGCTGCTTGGGAGGCTGAGGTGGAAGGATCACTTGAGCCCAGGAGTTCAAGGCTGCAGTGTGACGTGATCACGCCAGTGCACTCCAGCCTGGACAACAGGGTGAGACCCCAATCTCAAAAAAAAAAAAAAAGGACTTCACAGAAAAAAAAAAAAAAACAGAAAGAAATGCTAGCCTAAGGTAGCAGATGATGGACAGAACAGAGAGGGTGAGAGCATGCTCAAGGTCACACAGAACAATCCTTTGAAGCTGTTTTCCCTTAAACACAACTACTCTAATCACCAACCCAGGTCTGAATCCAGTCCCTGCCACTCTCAGGTTGTGTAACTCTCAGCAAACTGCTTACCTCTGAGCTTCATCTGGAAGACGAGGGTAATGACTCTATTTCATAAGATTACTGTGAGAATTAAATCATGCATGCTAGCTGCTTAGCACAGTGCCTGGCACGCCAATGGTGCTTCACACACGCTTGTGCATGTTGCAGCCAGCCTCCAAGCCCCCAGCAATCCCACCTCCTGATTTTCACACCTTGTGTAGTCCCCTCCAAGCTGGGTCAGGGTTGGTCTATGTGACCAAGAGAACAGAGCAGAGGTGAGGGTATGCCATTTCCAAGAACAGGTTATAAAAGACACTGCAGGGAGGGCATGGTGGCTCACACCTGTAATCCTAGCACTTTGGGAGGCCAAGGCGGGCAGATCACTTGAGGTCAGGAGTTCGAGACCAGCCTGACCAACATGGGGAAACCTCGTCTCTACTAAAATACAAAAAATTAGCCGGGTGTGGGGCGTGCACCTATAGTCCCAGCTACTTGGGAGGCTGAGGCAGGAGAATTGTTTGAACCTGGGAGACGGAGGTTGCAGTGAGCCGAGATCGCCACTGCACTCCAGCCTGGGCAAGAGAATGAGACTCCATCTCCAAAAAAAAAAAAGACACTGCTGCTTCCATCTCAGTGTCTTCTTTCTCTGATCACTTGGTCTGGGGGAAGCCAGCTGCCACACTGTGAGCAGCCCTGCAGGGTGGCCCACGTGGCAAGGAACTGAGACCCCCTGCTAACAGCCACGTGAATACATTTGGAAGCAAACCCTCTGGCCGCAGTTAAGCCTTCAGAAGACTCCACCCTGGCTGGTATCTTGACTGCAACCTCCCAAGAGACTCAGCCAGAACCACTCAGCTAAGCAGCGCCCAGATTCCTGACCCTAGAAACAGTATGAGAAAATAAAAGTTTGTTGCTTTAGGTTGGACGCAGTGGTTCATTCCTGTAATCCCAGCACCTTGGGAGGCCAAGAAAGGAGGATTGCTTAAGTCCAGGAGTTTGAGACCAGCCTGAGCAACATAGTAAGACCCTATCTCTACAAACAGTTTGTTTTTTTTAAATTAGCTGGGTGTGGTGATGCATGCCTATAGTTCCAGCTACTTGGGGGGCTGAGGTGGGAGGATCGCTTGAGCCCAGGAGATGAAGGTTGCAGTGAGCCGAGATCATGCCACTGCACTCCAGCCTGGGTGGCAGAGCAAGACCTCATTCAAAAAAGAAAAGAAAACTTAATAGGATTATGTCCAGATTTTTTTCATTTGGTATCTATTTTTTAAAGTTTCTATATTTGGCATGTATTGTTTTAAAATTTACACACACACAAAAAGTCCCTTCAAAAAAAGTGGGGGGCTAGTCCAAGTGCAGCAGTGTTGGTGACTAACTGATCACAACCAGATACAGATTTCTTTGTTCCTTCTGCACTCCCACTGCCTCGCTTGACTAGCCTCTAAAAAAGAGAAAAAGAACAAGAGGGAAATTTGTAAGGCGGGGATAAATCCTATTCCTTCTCCCTCTGGAGGCTGCCATGGAGGGTTCCAGAGACCTGGTTCACTCGGATGAACCAGCCAGGGGTGGTAAGTGAAAGAAATAGAGCAGACATTCCCCTCACCCCCTGGATGAAGACTGACAAGGCAAACCCTGATTCCAACCAGACTTGGCCTAGCACACCCCAAGGCCTGGTGAAGGTCGGCTGAGCCTGAATCTGGGCTCCAGGAACTGCGGGCTGGAGACAAGTTTCTCATCAGATAGTTACAGGTCCCAAGAGGCCAGAGTTTCCAAATAGGAAAGGTAAAAATAGTCTGAATGAGGCTCCTGAACCAGATACTTGGACTCAGAACTGTCTCTGCCTCCCGCTTCTTCTCTCCCGAGTCTGGGCACCAAATATCATCTGATCCTCTATCTCCACTGTCACTACTGCCCAAGAAAGAACTCAGCTCCTCACCTCTGGACTCCTCACATCTGGACAGCCCCCTCCATTCACTGTATCATAAGCAGCATCAGATCAACTCTCCTTAAATCATCCCTGCTCAAAATTTTCCATGGCTTCCAAGTGAGAAACTTATTAAAAATGAATCTCAGCTAAATGCAGTGACTCACACCTGTAACCCCAGCACTTTGGCAGGCCAAGGCAGATCAGTTGAGGTCACGAGTTCAATACCAGCCTGGGCAACATAGTGAGACCCCGTCTCTAAAAAAAAATTTTTTTTTTAATTAGCCAGTTGGGGTGTCATGTGTCTGTAGTCCTTGCTACTCAAGATGCTAAGATGGGAGGATCACTGGAGCCCAGGAGTCTGAAGTTACAGTGAACTCTGATCATGCCACTGTACTCCAGCTTGGGCAACAGAGTGAGACCCTGTCTCAAAAAAATAAAAGGGGGCCGGGCATGGTGGCTCATGTCTGTAATCCTAGCACTTTGGGAGGCTAGGCGGGCAGATTACCTGAGGTCAGGAGTTGAAGACCAGCCTGGCCAACATGGTGAAACCCTGTCTCTACTAAAAATACAAAATTAGGCCGGGCACGGTGGCTCATGCCTGTAATCCTGGCACTTTGGGAGGCCAAGGTGGGTGGATTGCCTGAGCTCAGGAGTTTGAGACCACCCTGGGCAACATGGTGAAACCCCATCTCTACTAAAATACAAAAAATTAGCTGGGAATGGCGGCACGAGCCTGTAGTCCCTGCTACTCGAAAGGCTGAGGCAGGAGAATTTCTTGAACCCGGGAGGCGGAGGTTGCAGCGAGCCGAGATTGCACCACTGCACTCCAGCCTGGGCAACAGAGCGAGATTCCGTCTCAAAAAATAAAAAAATAAAAAAAATTAGCTGGGCATGGTGGCAGGCGCCTGTAATCCCAGCTACTCAGGAGGCTGAGGCAGGAGAATCGCTTGAACCTGAGAGGCGGAGCTTGCAGTAAACCGAGATTGTGCCACTGCACTCCAGCCTGAGTGACAGAGACAGACTCCTCTGTCTCAAAAAAAAAAAAAAAAAAATTAGCTCAGCGTGGTGGTGCACACCTGTAATCCCAGTTACTTGGGAAGCTGAGGCACGAGATTGAACCCAGGAGGTGAAGGTTGCAGTGAGCCCAGATTGTGCCACTGTATTCCAGCCTGGGTGACAGAGCAAGACTCTGTCTCAAAAACAAAAAAATAGTCTCCTGGGTCAGGTCCCCAGAAATCCTGATTTAGCAGATCTGGAGGGGGACCTAGAAATCTGCATTTTAACTAGCAAGTCTAATACCCCTTAAGAAGCAAAAGCCTGGAGGAATGAACTTTCCCTTGAGTTCCAAATGCAGCCTCTGCTGGGGACAGTTATTCTGGGTAGACACAGCCCCCTGGACTCATGTCCCAGCTAGAAATCAGTCCAATTATGAATAACCTCAGGTCACTGAAGTGGTAATCCAACTTGATGCTAAGCACAATTAGTTAAAGTGGATAAAGCTGTTTTCTTACTAGATAAGTGTCTTGTCACACTCCTGGAAAGTTTAGAATTAAAAATAGAAGCATAAGAGCAAATCAAATTCACTGTATTAATGTTCCTATCCTAAATTTAGTAATAATCTGTATATTTTGGAATTAAAAAGTAGCTGTTGGCCAGGCACGGTGGCTCACGCCTGTAATCCCAGCACTTTGGGAGGCTGAGGCAGGCGGATGACAAGGTCAAGAGATCGAGACCATCCTGGCCAACGTGGTGAAACCCTGTCTCTACTAAAAATATAAAAATTAGCTGGGCGTGGTGGTGCGCACCCATAGTCCCAGCTACTCAGGAGCCTGAGGCAGGAGGATTGCTTGAACCTGGGAGGCGGAGGTTGCAGTGAGCCGAGATTGTGCCACTGCACTCTAGCCTGGTGAGAGTGAAACTCCGTCTCAAAAAAAAAAAAAAAAAAAAAAATAGCTGTAGACAGGGCATGGTGGCTCACACCTGTAATCCCAGCACTTTGGGAGGCAGGAGGATCACTTGAGCCCAGGAGTTCAAAACCAGCCTGGGCAACATAGGGGAACCTTGTCTCTACAAATAATTTTTAAAAAATTAGCCAGACATGGTGGTGCGGGCTCGGGCCTGTGGTCCCAGCTACTACTGCTCAAGAGGTTGAGGTAGGAGGATCGCTTGAGCCCAGGGAGATGGAGGCTGCAGTGAGCCAAGATTGCACCACTGCACTCCAGCCTGGGTGAGAGAGTGAGACACTGTCTCAGAACAATCCTACTGGGAACTGTGCATGCGAGGGATCTAGGTTATGTGCTCCTTATGAGAATCTAATGCCTAAAACAAAAAAAGTATCTGTAATATTGAAAAAAAAATGTGATATGTTGAGTGTCTAACAGATAAGCATTGTGATTCCTATTTAAAATACAAAAGTTAAAATATAGAGTTAGTGACAAAATATATGTCAGTAATTGATATTAGAGTTGTGATTTTAGATTGAGAGGTTAGCAATGATTGGAAATATGGACTGTATAACAGAATTACCTGGGGTGCTGTAAAGGTTACTAAGGGGCCCCCCATATATTCCTATTTCATGTCAGAAATACAGCCTGTTTTTTTGTTTTTGTTCTTTTTAGCTCCCTAAACTAAGAGCCACTGACATAGAGAATTTTACTAAGTCTGTAAAAATAATTATTTATAAGAACTTGAAATTCATTATAAGTTTAATTGATTAGATTTTGTAGTAACTCTTTACTCTGGGGAAAACTGTGCTTGTTATGTTATTCATATAAAGTACTTAAAAAGAAAATCAAATATATTAAATTTACAAATAGATTTAAAATGTTGGCAGGAATGAAATTAAGCTGTAAATAGGGATGAGTGTCTTGAGAAATTCAGAATCTTCAACTTGAGTTCAAATATTAATAAAAAAATTAAGGTCATTTTTCTTATTTGCCGATATTTATGTATTGAATAATAATTTCTAAGTTGAAATACATGGCTTAAAGCAGGGGACCCCAACCCCCAGGCCCCGGAACGGTACGGGTCCATGGCCTGTCAGGAGCTGGGCCGCACAGCAGGAGGTGAGTGGCAGGTGAGTAAGCGAAGCTTCATCTGTATTTACAGCCACTCCCCATTGCTCGCATTACCGCCTGAGCTTCGTCTCCTGTCAGATCATCGGCAGCATTAGATTCTCATAGGAGCACGAATCCTATTGTGAACTGCGCATGCGAGGGATCTAGGTTGCACGCTCCTTATGAGAATCTATGCCTGTTGATCTGTCACTGTCTCCCATCACCCCCAGATGGGACCGTCTAGTTGCAGGACAACAAGCTCAGGCCTCCCACTGATTCTACATTATGGTGAGCTGTATAATTATTTCATTATATATTACAATGTAATAACAGAAATAAAGTGCACAATAAATATAATCCACTTGAATCATCCTGAAACCATCCCCCTCCTGTATCCCGTCCATAGAAAAACTGTCTTCCACAAAACTGGTCTCTGGTGCCAAAAAGGTTGGGGACTGCTAGTTTAAGGGAAATTACGTTTTTTAAATGATTACCTCCGAATGAGAATTTAAAAGATAAAATATAAAACCAAAATCCAGTACTTTGAGAGGCCAAGGTGGGAGCATCCCTTGTGGCCAGGAGTTAGAGACCAGCCTGGGCAATGTGGCAAGACCCTCTCTCTACAAAAAAATTTTTTTAAATTAGGCTGGGTGGGAGGCCGAGACGGACAGATCACCTGAGGTCAGGAGTTCTAGACCAGCCTGGCCAAGATGGTGAAAACCCATCTGTACTAAAAATACAAAAATTATCCGGGCGTGGTGGCAGGTGCCTGTAATCCCAGTTACTCGGGAGGCTGAGAGAACAGAATCACTTGAACCCAGGAGGCAGAGGTTGCAGTGAGCTGAGATTGCACCACTGCACTCCAGCCTGGGCAACACAGCGAGACTCTGCCTCAATAAATAAATAAATAAATAAATAAATAAGGCCAGGTGCGGTGGCTCACACCTGTAATCCCAGGATTTTGGGAGGCCGAGGTGGGTGGATCACGAGGTCAGAGATTCAAGACCAGCCTGACCAACATGGTGAAACCCCTTCTCTACTAAAAATACAAAAATTAGCTGGGTGTGGTGGCGGGCGCCTGTAATCCCAGCTACTCAGGAGGCTGAGGCAGGAGAATTACTTGAACCCAGGAGGCGGAGGTTGCAGTGAGCCGAGATGGTGCCACTGCACTCCAGCCTGGGCAACAGAACGAGACTCCGTCTCAAACAAAATAATAATAATAATAATAAATAAATAAAAATTAGGCTGGGGAGATGGCTCATGTCTGTAATCCCAGCACTTTGGAAGGCCAAGGTGGGTGGATCAGTTGAGCTCAGTAATTTGAGACCAGCCTGGCCAACATGGTGACACCCCTAAATTTTTTTAGTCTTTACAAAAAATCTATAAGAAAACCAGAAAACGAAATTAGTGGGGCATAGTGGCATGCACCTGTAGTCCCAGCTACTTGGAAGGCTGAGGTGGGAGTACCACTTGAGCCCAGGAGTTCGAGGCTGCAGTGAACTATGATCGTGCCACTACACTCCAGCCTGGGCAACAGAGTAAGACCCTTTCTCAAAATAATAATAGTAATAATAATAACCCAGCATGGTGGTGCACACCTGTAATCCCAGCTATTTGGGAGGTTGAAGCAGGTGAATTGCTTGAGCCCAGGAGTTCCAGGCTGCAAGGAACTATGATTATTACAACCAGGAATTATGTGCCACTGTACTCCAGCCTGGGCAATGGAGGGAGACCCTGTCTCTACAAAAATAAAACATAATAAAACCAAATGAAACAAGCCACACCTTTAACTCCCTGTGGTCTTCCCTACTCATTTCTCCCTCCTCTGAACTTCCCATCAGCCAGATTGGTTGGAAATGATTAGCAAGACCTAAGTAGTCTTCCCCTGGAGCCTCACAACTTCCTGCTCTGAGGGGCTCCCAGGATGCTTTGCAAATAGTATAAAACCACAGTAAGGATAACTCATGGATGTAAAGCATTTCACATTTTACCTTCTGATCCCCTAACCTGGTATTACTGTTGCTCTTTACAGATGAATTAAAAGAGAGTTAAAGCCTGATCAATGTCAGAGTCAGAGGCAGAGCCAGGCCTGCAATCCAATCCCTAGTTTTTGTTTGTTTTGTTTTCATTTGAGCTCCATCACCCAGGCTGGAGTGCAGTGACGCGATCTCAGTTAGTGGCAGCCTCCGCCTCCCAGGTTCAAGCGATTCTCCTGCCTCAGCCTCCCGAGTTGCTGGGATTACAAGCGGGTACCACCACACCTGGCTAATTTTTTTGTATTTTTAGTAGAGACAGGGTTTCACCATGTTGGCCAGGCTAGTCTTGAACTCCTGACCTCAAGTGATCCACCCACCTTAGCCTCCCAAAGTGTGGGGATTACAGGTGTGAGCCACCGCGCCTGGCCCCTAGTTTGTTTTTCATGGAGACGGTCTCACTATACGGCCCAGGCTGGTCTTCAACTCTTGGCCTCAAGTGTTCCTCCTGCCTTGGATTCCCAAAACACTGGGATTATAGGTGTGAGGCACCATCCCCAGCCCAGTCCCTGGTTTTGAATGCCACCCCTATCCGGATGACTCTTCTCAGGCTCATACCTCTCCTCTAAACTACAGATCCATGTCCTCATTTGCCTCTAGACACCTCCACTTGATGTCTGTTGGCTAGCTCAAACTGATGTGGCCAAAACAGAACTTAAGATCATTCTGTTGATTTTAAATTGTTGAGGTCAAAACTTAGATGTCAGCTGGACGCGGTGGCTCACACCTGTAATCCCGGCACTTTGGGAGACCGTGGCAGGCGGATCACTTGAGGCCAGGAGTTCAAGACCAGCCTGGCCAACATGGTGAAACCTTGTCTCTACTAAAAATACAAAAATGAGCTGGGCGTGTTGGCATCCGCTTGTAATCCCAGCTATTCAGTAGGCTGAGGCATGAGAATTGCTTGAACATGGGTGGCAGAGGTTGCAGTGAGCCAAGATTGTGCCACTGCACTCCAGCCGCACAGAGTGAGACTCTGTCTCAAAAAAAAACAAAAAACAAAAAACAAAAAAAACTTAGATATCCTCCTCAATTCCTCTTTCCTGTGCACCCTACACACATCTGCTAGCTTGCTCTGTCTGCCCTCCCTCCCAAATTACATCCCAAATCTGATCACTGCCCTGCTCCACACCCTAACCTAAATTACCACCCATCAGGCCGGGCATGGTGGCTCACGCCTGTAATCCCAGCACTTTGGGAGGCCAAGATGGGAGGATCACCTGAAGTCAGGAGTTTGAGACTAGCCTGGCCAACATGGTGAAACCCTGTCTCTACTAAAAAAAAAAATTAGCCAGGCATGGTGGCAGGCGCCTGTAATCCCAGCCACTCGGGAGGCTGAAGCAGGAGAATCACTTGAACCCGGGAGGCGGAGGTTGCAGTAAGCCGAGATAGCACCACTACACTCCAGTCTGGACGACAGACCGAGACTCCATCTCAAATAAATAACCACCCATCTTCCCTCAAATGATCTACTACAATAACTTCCCCCTTGCGGTCCACTCTCCATAGACCAGCCAGGATGATGACATTAAAGTGCACATTAAATCTTGTCGCATTTCTCCTGAAAACCCTTCAATGGCCTCCTAGTGCAACTAGAAAAAGACAAGACTCCTTGGCCAGACGCGGTGGCTCACGCACCTTGGGGGGCGAGGCAGGAAGATTGCTTGAGCCCAGGAGTTGGAGACCAGCCTGGGCAACACAGTGAGACCCTGTCTCTAAAAACAAAAACCAAAGAAAACAAGACTCCGTAAGGTGGGTTCCAAGGCCAGACATGAGCTGACCGGAGTCAACCTCTTCACAGTCCACTCTACTTCTTTCCCTCAAACATCCCAGGACTGTAGCTGCCTCAAGGCCTTTGCACCAACGTTTTCCTGTTCAACTCTACTATTCATTCAGGTCTCTAGTCAAGTGTCACCCCCCAGAGCAGCTACCCAGGGTGCAATGTCACCACCACTGCCTCTCCAGTCAACCAAAGCACTATCTGTTTGCTGTACTGCATCTCCCCACCCGCCCACTCCGTAGATTGAGCGCTCTGTGAGAGCAAGGACTTTGTTCACTGCTGGGTCCCCAGAGCAGGGACCAGAACAGGCGCTGGGAAAACATCTGTTGAATGCCCCAGGTACTCCAAAGCCCTTGCTCTTTTCAATCCCAAGCAGGTTCCAAGTCTCCAGCCTTCCAAACCAGGGTTGCCCGGTGCGAAGCCCAGGGGTGAGAGGAACAGGAAGCAGGGCAGATCCGTCCCTGCCCTTAATCCAGGGTGAAGGGTTTAACCTCCAGGACAAGACTTTTGCCGCAGGCTCCAGCTCCTGGCCTAGACTTGGGGCTGGTGCAGGGGACAAGGCGAAGAGTTGAGCCAGGGTCTCGGGAACCCAGCTGCCCTCGCCCCTCTATCCACACCCTATCCCAAGAAATGGTGCGTCCCGCCGCAGGGCGTACGCACAGAGAAGGAAGTGTTCAAGTCTTCCAGTGCGGAGAAAAGAGACTAGGACTCGCCCCTCGACGTCTCGCGGAAGGTACCTGGCTCCCCGGTGGCTGCAGCTCCGGGCTCCTCCTCCTGCGTCCTCGCGTCGCGTACTGCTTGCTGGGATTCGTAGTCTCGCCTTGGCCATCAGTTCGCCCTTCCCAGAGAGCTTTGGGAATCTAAGCCGGGACTGGGCGGAGGGCGGGGAGAAGGTGATGGCGCGCGAGGGCTTCTGGGAGTTGTAGTTTGACATATTCTAACAGCCAGGAATTCTGGAGAAGAAAAATTGGGTAATAAATCTTATCAGATTATCTGGGCTGTCCTGATATGAACCTTTTGAGTTTTTTTCCTCATTCCCAGGATAGGAATACCTCTGTGGTTCAAAACACGAAGGCTGAGATTCAGAGGAACTACAAATCCCATAAAGTGTTGCACGTCTAGGGCCTTTGGGGAACGAGGTCGGCCCCAGCGCAGGCGCGGTGGCGCGAGTTGGACTGTGAAGAAACATGGCGGCCGCGACGTTGACTTCGAAATTGTACTCCCTGCTGTTCCGCAGGACCTCCACCTTCGCCCTCACCATCATCGTGGGCGTCATGTTCTTCGAGCGCGCCTTCGATCAAGGCGCGGACGCTATCTACGACCACATCAACGAGGGGGTGAGGGCCTGTGCCATCCCTGACCTTGGACCCGCCTGAGGGGTGACAGTGGAGTAGAGGTGGGATGGGACTCAGTATACTTTTACCAGGAAGGGGGTAAGGGGTAAACCGTCGGCGTCTTCTGTCTCGAGTCCGCCGTCTGTCCCCTTGGCTTGATGTGAATTCTAAAACGTTAAGCGAGGTTAATATATTTCATTTTGCAGGGGTTGTAAGTATTGCTGTGTGCCACCCTACATACCCACTTGCCCATTATCAGAAGCAAAAACTAAAGGCTAGTGAGAGCAAAGGACTTACTAGCTGCACAGGAAGCCAGGGGCAAGTCAGGGCCAGAAACGGGACCCCTGTCTCTCAGAGTTTCAAGGGCAGATTTGAGCAGGCGACGGTCGTGAAAAGGACGTTAGACACCTTAGACGCCGTGGCTGAAGTTTCAGACGGCGCTTCTGGTCCCCAAGGCTTCCCACGTAGACAGTTGGTATTAATGGTTGAGAGTGGGGGCTATGAAATCAGAAAGCCTTGGATAGGAACACTGGTCCTTGTCACTTAACTGTGGCATTAAGTTGAGCAAGTTTCTTCTCTGAACTCCGTTTTAACTGTGAGATGGAGATATTAATAGTAACCTGAGCACGATTGTGAGGATTACATGAGATGCAGGCAGGGTGCCACATGCCTGGTAGGTGGTACCACTGAAAAATAATCATTGCTTACATTCCTCAGGAGAAAGTGGAAGCATGAGGTAGGAATCGCAACACATTTTTGACTTTTATGTATCATGCACTGTGCTAGGTGCAGTGCATGCTTTATATCGCTAAATTATGACTGTGCTGGAGTAGGCCTTATACATATAGCCCTGTTCCACCACTCACTTGTGTTTTTAATTTGAGACTGTCTGACTCTGCAGCCCGGGAAGGCACTGTCCACTAGTGCTATGCTGCCTGTGACCAGTGCAACTTCCTGCCCCATATGAAAGCATTGCTACTGTCCCATCTCTTGCAAGTGGTTCTGTTAACCACTCCCATTGATCTGGAGAGACATCCAAGTATGTTGTTATAACTCACCCATTTTCCTTGTGCTTTTTTTTGTTTTGTTTTGTTTTTTTGAGACAGGATCTCACTCTGTCGCCCAGGTTGGAGTGCAGTGGCATGATCACAGCTCACTGCAGCCTTGACCTCCTGGGTTCAAGTGATCTTCCCACCTCAGCCTCCTGAGTAGCTGGGACCACAGGCATGCGCCACCACGCCCAGCTAATTTTTGTATTTTTTGTAGAGATGGGGTTTCACCATGTTGCCCAGGCTGGTCTTGAATTCCTGAGCTCAGGCAGTCCTCCTGCCTTAGCCTTCTAAAGTACTGGGATTACAGGCGTGAGCCACTGTGCTCAACCTCTTGTGCTTCTGGGAATGAGAATTTCAGCCAATTTAGGTCCCAGGAAATGTCTTAAATGGCTCATGGTGAAATATTTTGGGACTACGCACTTATAATCTCTTCAGTAATACCTGGGAGTTGAAGAACTGAGACATCTTCCAGGCTGTTTTCCTTAATAATTGTGTGTTTTGGGGCACTTCCCTCAATCTCAAACTGAATTTCCTGTGAAATTAAGATCACCCCTTTCCACTTACTTCACCTGGTGATTGAAAGCATCATAGTATTTTATAAATGCCAAGAATTATGCATGAAGGCTCGGCGCGGTGGCTCACACCTGTCATCCCAGCGCTTTGGGAGGCCAAGGCAGGCAGATCACTTGAGGTCAGGAGTTTGAGACCAGCTTGGCCAACATGGCGAAACCCCATCTCTACTAAAAATACAAAAATTAGCCGGGTAGCGCATACCTGTATTCCCAGCTGCTCTTGAAGCTGAGGCAGGAGAATCGCTCGAACCCAAGAGGCTGAGGTTGCAGTGAGCCGAGATTGCGCCACTACACTCCAGCCTGGGCGATAGAGCGAGTCTCCGTCTCAAAAAAAAAATGTGCATCAAGCATAGGATTGCTTCGAGTTTGCCCACCACAAGTGTATCTTTTTAATCAGGACATGGCATGTGTTTCCCCCAAGCTCATTTTAGAGACCAGGGCAGTGGGAGTAGTTGTAAAATGTGAGAGGCAAAGGTCAAAGTTTGTGGCTCTTGTCTTTAAAATGCAGAAGCTGTGGAAACACATCAAGCACAAGTATGAGAACAAGTAGTTCCTTGGAGGCCCCCATCCAGGCCAGAAGGACCAGGTCCACCCAGCAGCTGTTTGCCCAGAGCTGGAGCCTCAGCTTGAAGATGATGCTCAAGGTACTCTTCATGGACCACCATTCGCTGTTGGCAAGAAACGGCTTTACTTACAAAACAGACTCTTTACCTTCTGCTGTGTTTGAAGTATGTTTAGTCAGCATGCTCAGGAAATAAATGTGAATTGCCCTTGAGACCTGCTTCTACATTGGTTGCTTTGTTAACTCTACCTGATCTTCACTTGTCAGTAATTTGAGACCACTTCAAAGCCCTCTGCAAACACCCCAAAGGCAGAATCTGCTATTTTGAGTTTTCCATTAACTTCCAAAGAATTCTGGTTTTCAAAACAGGAGCCAGAGTTGGAGATATTACAGTCAACTTTGGCTTCTAAGCCAGTAATTCCATTCTTAAATACCTCAC